>NW_025791777.1:1636026-1791212 GCF_000001405.40 Homo sapiens
AACAATGGTTTTTGTGTTGATTGAGATATTGATTAAATATGTACATTTGTGAAAACTTACTAAATTGAATGCTTAATTTCTGTGCATTTTGCTGTATCTCAATTCTAATAGAAAGACAGGCAAACATATAAATACCTATTACAGACATACCTACACACACACACGTGTGTGTGTATGTGCGTGTGTGTATGTGTGTGTATAAGTCATTTGCATATATACTGGCAGTGAATCCCAGTAAAGGTGAGGAATACATATTCTCACACTGGTAGAAATGATGACTTTTTACAGTCTGATTTTTTTTGTGTTTTAATCCAGAAATAATCCCAAAATTAGAGATACAAGGGAATGGTAATTGGTCCATAGAATAAGAACTGTCCAAGAAATTTATAGCACATGACTCCCTGTCCCACGCTCAATTGAGGTTTGTTTTATGTCTTTGCTCTGGGAAGAAAGCCCCCAGTTTAGCTTTCTAAATGATGAGTTCAGAATCTACTCACAAGCATTAGAGATTAGTAAAGTTCCTTGTATTCAGTAGAGTTCCTTGCAACAAGCATGAGCAGTAGAGATGCTGCCACTTTCAAAAGACTTACATATGGACCACTGAAAAGAAAGGCATTATGTGGTCAATTTTAGAGCATGTGCCATGTGGAGATGAGAAGAATGTATATTCTGTTGTTTTTGGATGGAGAGTTCTGTAGATGTCTATCAGACTCATTCGGTGGAATGTTGGGTTCAGATCCTGAATATCATTGTTAATTTTCTACCTTGATGATCTGTCTATGACTATCAGTGGTGTGTTAAAGTCTCCTACTATTATTGTGTGGGAGCCTCTTTGTACTCTAAGAACTTACTTTATGAATCTGGGTGTTCCTGTGTTGGGTGCATATATATTTAGGTTAGTAAGGTCTTCTTGTTGAGTAAAACCCTTCATCATTATGTAATGCCCTTCGTCTTTTTTTTTTTTTTTTTTTTTGAGACGGAGCCTCACTCTGTCGCCAGGCTATAGTGCAGTGGCATAATCTCAGCTCACTGCAATCTCCGCCTCCCGGGTTCAAGTGATTCTCCTGCCTCAGCCTCCCGAGTAGCTGGGACTACAGGCACACACCACCAAGCCCAGCTTATTTTTTTTTTTTTTTTTGGATTTTAGTAGAGATGGGGTTTCACAATGTTGGCCAGGATGGTCTCGATCTCCTGACCTTGTAATCCGCCCACCTTGGCCTCCCAAAGTGCTGGGATTACAGGTGTGAGCCACCACTCCCGGCCCCTTCTTTGTCTTTTTTGAACTTTGTTTGTTTGACGTCTGTTTGGTCTGAAATTAGGATGCAACCCCTGCTTTTTTCTGTTTTCTACATGCTTGGTAGATTTTCCTCCATTCCTTTATTTTGAGCCGATGGGTGTCATCACATGTGAGATAGGTCTCAAAGACAGCATACCATTGAGTCTTGCTTTTTTATTCAGCTTGCCCCCCTTTACCTTTTAAGTGGGGCATTTAGCCCACTTACATTCAAGGTTAGTATTTGATATGTGTAGATTTGATGCCCTCCCTCATGACTCCTATTCAACATAGGAAATCCCAGCCAGAGTAATCAGGCAAGAGAAAGAAATAAAGGGCATCCAAATAGGAAGAGAGGAAGTAAAATTATCCCTATTTGAAGCTGACATGATTCTATATCTAGAAAACCCATAGTCTCAGCCGCAAAGCTCCTTCTGCTAATAAAAAAAACTTCAGCAAAGTTTTAGAAAGAAAATCAATGTACAAAAATCACTAGCATTTCTATAAACCAACAGTAACCAAGCTGGCAGTCAAATCAGGAAGGCAATCCCATTCACAATTTTCACAAAAAGAATAAAATATCTAGGGTAAAATACAACTAACCAGGGAGGTGAAAAATCTCTACAATGAGAATTACAAAACACTGCACAAAGAAATCAGAGAGGATACAAACAAAATGGAAAACATATCATGCTCATGGATAGGAAGAAGCAATATCATTAAAAGGCCATACTGCACAAAGCAATTTACAGATTAAATGCTATTTCTATCAAACTACCAATGACATTCTTCACAAAACTAGAAACAACTGTTTTAAAGTTCATGTGGAACCAAAAAAGAGGCCAAATAGCCAAGGCAATCTTAAGAAAAAGAACAAAGCTGGAAGCATCAGGCTATCTGACCTCAAACTATACTACAGGGCTATGTTAACCAAAACAGCATGGTGCTGGCACAAAAACAGGGACATAAACCAATAGAACAGAATAGAGAACCCAGAAATAAAGCCACACAGCTATGATTATCTGATCATCAATAAAACTGACAAAAACGAGCAATGGGGAAAAGACTGTCTTTTCAATAAATGGTACTGGGATAACTAACTAGCCATATGCAAAAGATTGAAACTGGACCCCTTCCATACACAATATACAAAAATCAACTCAAGATGGATTAAACACTTAAATGCAAAACACAAAATTAGAAAAACCCTGGAAGACAACCTAGGCAATACCATCCTGGACTTAGAACAGGCAAGGATTTCATGACTAAGATGTCAAAAGCAATTGCAACAAAAGCAAAAATTCATAAATGGGAACTTCATTAGTCCATTTTCACACTGCTATAAAGAACCACCAGAGACTGAGTAATTTATAAAGAAAAAGGTTTAATTGACTTGAAGTTCAGCATGGCTGGGAAGGCCTCAGGAAACTTACAATTATAGGAGAAGGTGAAAGGGATGCAATGCACCTTTTTCACAAGGCGGCAGGAAGGAGAAGTACCAGGCAAAGCTGGGAAGAGCCCCTCATAAAACCATTAGATCTCGTGAGAACTCATTCACTATCACAAGAACAGCATGGGTGAAACCACCCCCAGATTCAATTACCTCCACCTGGTCTCTCCATGTGGTGATTATGGAGATTATAATTCAAGATGAGATTTGGGTGGGGATACAAAGCCTAAACATATCAGGATCTCATTAAACTTATTAAGAGCTTCTGCATAGCAAAAGAAACTATTAACAAAATAAACAGACAACCTACAGAGTGGGAGAAACTATTTGCAAACTATGCGTCTGACAAATGTCTAAAATCCAGCACCTATAAGGAATTTAAACAAATTTACAAGAGAAAAACAACCCCACTAAAATGTGGGCAAAGTACATGAACAGACACTTTTCAAAAGAAGACGTACATGTAGCCAACAAGCATGTGAAAAAAAAAAAAAACTCAATATCACTGATCATTAGAGAAATGCAAATTAAAACCACAATGAAATATAATTTCATACCAGTTAAAATGGCTACTATTAAAATGTCAAAAAATAACAGATGCTGGCAGGTTGTGGAGAAAAGGAAACACACACTGTTAGTGGGAGTGTAAGTTAGTTCAACTATTGTGGAAAGCAGCATGGCAATTCCTCAAAGAGATAAAAGCAGAACTACCATTCCAACCAGCAATCGCATTACTGCATATATACCCAGAAGAAAATATATCATTCTACCATAAAGACACATGCACACAAATGTTCATTGCAGCAATATGCACAATGGCAAAGACATAGAATCAACCTCAATGCTCATCAATAAGAGTTTAGATAAAGAAAATGTGGTATATAGACACCATGGAGCTATAAAAAAGAATGAGATCACGTTCTTTGCAGTAACATGGATGGAGCTGGAGGCTATTATACTGGCCAAATTAACACAGGAACAAAAAACCAAATACTAGAAAATACTGCATGTTCTCACTTACAAGTGGGGAACTAAATTATGAGAACACATGGACACAAAGAAGGGAACAGCAGACACTGGAGTCTACTTGAGAGTGGAGGGTGACAGGAGACAGAGGAGCAGGAAAAATAATTGTTGAGTACTTGGTACCTAGGTGACAAAATGATCTGTACAACAAACCCTGATGACACGAGTTTACCTATATAACAAACTTTCACAGGTACTCCCAAACCTAAAATAAAAGTTAAAAAAAAAAGAAGAAAGCAAGCCCAAACCCATGCTGTACCACATGGCAGCATGGCATTGCAATTTTCAATTACTTGGGGGAAATAAAGATTCTCATGTGATTAGAGGAAATAATCTTTATTTAATAACAATGCTTAATAAGAACACTTGACAATAGATGGCTGAGAAAACCAAGAATCACCAAATATTTAAATAAAAATAAAAAATAAAGAATATCCTATCTATGAAATGATATAAACACTAAGAAAATAGAATTAACAGAAGAAACTAAAGAAAATGTCAATAGCCTTGGTGTCCATACAGGAATAGGAATCACAAAAATAACCATAAAATATTTTTAAAAATACCTTTTACAAGCAATACTCCAGAATGTCAGAAATTAAAAATATCATTAGCAAAATAAAATGTAGTAAACAGAATAAATAATATAAAAGATAAAACTGATGTCTAAAGATTACCCCAGAATCTGAACTGCATGAGGGGGAATAATAATTACATTACTGGATATGAGAACAACTATTTAATAGACACATCTACTTGGATGACAATGCTTTTTTTTAAATGTCAAATTTCCAGTTTATTAATTTTAATACATTTCTGATCAAAATTACTCATTTCTTTTTGTGCCCTTATTTTTTGCATTAATTTTCATTTTTTACATCTCCATGCTGAATTGAAAAAAACTTCTACTGACCTGTATTTCAGTATATTAATTATTCCTTCAATGGTATCTAATCTGGTGGTAAATTATCTATTATATTTAATTTAAGTAATCACATTTGTATTTTAAATGTTTTGCTTATTTCATCCACAATATAATACTAACACAGTTTTTTCTCTACAATTAGTTTAAGCTTTTAACTAAATTTTTAAAGAGTAAAATATTTATTATCTTTCTCTGATATTGTCCAATGTTTGAAGTCTTTGTGGGTCTAATTATGTTTCATGTTGTTTTTGTTGATTTTAACTTATTTTGCCTTGTTTCACTGTGTTCTTGAGAATATTGTAAGATTTAGCTTCAGGGTATTTTTATAAAGCATTCAGATTTGCTTCTCCCTAACACTTGGGCATACGAGTAGGACCACCTTAAAAAAATGTTCAATTTTTGAGATTACCTGAGTCACGCAGTCACACAAACCCAAGTAGTGGATCCAAGCTACCACTGCTTTAGGTCTGTCTGGTTCACCTTATGCTGAGGGTATAAGATTTGGTCATCTCAATCTTTTAAGGGTGGGCTCCTTAAGAAGACTTAACATATGCTAGTCTTCGGTTTTGGTTTCTTTCTCATTCACCCTGAAACTGTCAAAATAAATATTAATATTTGTAGAGATCGGCAAATTGCAACTGGTAAGGTTATATCCTTACCTCTCTGGGTTCTTCTTTTCTCTTCAAATTTGGTTCGATCACTTATTAAAATTTTATAAGCTCTCAATGCTTTTTAAAAGGTGTTTTAAATGTGCAATCACTAGCATTTTTTAAAGTTTTTTCATTGGGAATTATAGTCTGAATAATATCCCACCATAACTAGAAAATGAAATACCTACCTATTACAAATGCAATACATTTTATATATTGAGTAATTTGCCTTTTTCTAATTAATTTTATTTTAAAACTCATATTAAAATCTATATTTTATAAGAAAAAAAAAAGCTTGACATTTGATTAAGACCAACTTAGCTTCACAAATCTCTACCCGAATGACCACAGGCAAGTGATCTGACATTTGCAAGTGCCTATTTTTTTTTTTTCATTTATAAAATGGAAATACATAACTGAGCTTAATGTGGATCAAAGAAATTAATATGTAAAAAAAATCAAACACAGAACCTGAAAATGATAGGAAGTCAATTATTCAGCCTACCTATCCACTACTAAAATAATTCTTGGTTATGAACTTCACAAGGGAACACACTGTATTACTACTCTACTCAATAACATGAATTTCATTGTGTATCTTCTGGGGCAAGTGCTTCTTCCAAACAAATTAAACCATGCCACTCACACAATGTTCATCTATCTCATAAGTTTTTGCTATTCTCCTGTTGATTTTACATTTAATGAGGGATAAATTCTATTTTCACAATCATAATCAAATAGTACCTAGAGAATAAAAGCTACTAAGACAAGACAACCCTCAATTCAATTAATAACTAATCCCTCTCTTTTTCAGAGGTACATCAGTTGTTCCTCCAGGATTAAAACCCCTCCTGTTTTACAATAAAAAAGCAGACAGATGACAGGATCTCATTAAACATCTATTGTGCACCCACACAAAAAAAATTAAGTAGGCAGATGCTCTGATTATTTAAAGCAACACACAGAGTTTTAGGATGAAGTTTTATTTCTGAATTTTAACTTATGCACAACTTGTAAAATGTTACTTCATTTATAAATAAAGCAGCACTAACTTGGTAACTTGGAATCACTGTATTTTTCTTCATAAAGAATAAAGTCAGGATAACAGTTAGCTCTCTTTGTTTCTGAATAATGATTCAACATTAATTTAGATATTAGAAGCTCTCACATGCAAGTGTGTGTGCATGCACTCACACACACTACTCTGAAGAGGTAGAATATGAGGAAATAAGATACACATACACAGAGAAGGAATATGTAACATTTAATTTTAACCTCAATGACAGGAGGAGGAGCACCAATAATCTAAAAAAAAAAAGAAATCCCAAAAGTTTTGGATTAGCTGCCTCTCTAGCTAAGTATATATTTTATTGCTAATCAATATGGCATGACCAAAATTATAGCAATGAAAATAGTCATAATTATCATCAAGTAATGAAAATAATATTTATGTGCTCAACAGTATTACTTATATATTCTGATTAAATCATGTGCTATTGAAAGCAGGATGAAGTAGAGCTTATTTTATATCTTAGAATTCTTTTCCATCAATGTCAGTTTAGGAAATGAAAGTTATTAGAATTTCAATGTAATTAATTCATTTGCAATTGGTGTCTATTTGGTTATGTATTTTTTCATAGATATAGTCTGAGAGACATTATCTGGTAACTTTTATCATGTCTCTGAGAAACCAATTTTCTGTAAGGCCTAATTTTTTTTCTTAAATAAATATGTATCTGCTCATGCATATACCAACTTCATGGATTCCAAACAATAAAAAAGTTAATTGTAAGGATTGGACAGAATCTACATTTTAAATGCTATTTAAAACATTATCACACTGTAGTGGAGGAATCATAAACTGCAGAAGTTTTTCAACCATGCCACCACAAACTACATCTCTACAAAATGTTTTGTACTTTTACTTTAAAGAACTAAAATTGGAAACAAAGAGTGGAGAATTATTTCTTCCCTTTCTCTTCCCTTCATCCTCATTCTAGCACCAGTCATACCTGACCATGATTTTTAAAGAGTATAAATTACTCCTCTTCTCAGAGGTAGAAATACACAGAAAAATACACAAAAACCAAATTCTGTCAAAATATATTTAAAGAGGTTTATTCAGAGCCAGTATAAGTGACCAAGGCCTGGGTTACACTATCTCAAGAGGTTCTGAAAGCGTGCCCAAGGCAACCGGGTTACACTTTGGTTTTATACATTCCAAGGAGACAACCAACTGCAGGTAATTGCAGGTAGGTCAGGGTAGGAGCTTGTACGTCATAAGGGGCTTTTAGGGATCCTTTAGTTGACAATTGGTTGAGAGAGTTATGCTATCGTCTAAAGTCTTGAAATCGATAGAAAGGAATGCCTGAGTTCAGATAAGAGTGGGGGAAAGACCAAGGATCTTATTAAGTAGATGAAGCCTCATAGGTGGCCCTCAGAGAGAATAGATGGTAAATGTTTCTTTTCAGACCTTTAAAGGTATCAGACTCTCAATCACTCCTAGGTCCTGGAAAGGCATAGAAAGGGGAAGCATGGCTGCATTAATGAAGATTCTCCATAGATGCAAATTTCCTCTACCTCAGTTTGCTGGCCTTGCAACAGCCATTTCAAAAGACATCAAAGAAATATATTTTAGGGCAAAATATTTTTATATCCTTCAGGGTCTGCTGTCTGTTATGTGATGCTGTACCAGAGTCAGGTTGGAAAGCAAGCCACATTATATAGGGTTAATAAAAAACCCATGTAAAGAGATGTTATCATTCGTAGGGCTGACTCCCAGTTTCTTTAAATAGGAATTTGGGCAAGATGAAAAAAAAAAAATCAGAATTTAGTCCTCAACTCAAATATTTTATTCATTCAAACGCTTATTCAAACTACCGAATCCTCCAATAACAGAAAGTATAGTGTCCATCCTGAAGACTTTCATCCCATCTCACAGCATGTTTTCTCCTAGTACACCCTGATTGTCCAAGGACTTCTGAGAACACCATTCCAGAAGAGGTCATGATCTCAACAACTGTCACAGAAAGAAAGAATACAGGAAGACAAGATGCGAAAGTTATGTCAGTGGCTTTCATTCATCACACCACTACGTACTGGTTCTCTAGTACTGTGCTGTTATGATCCTCCTGACTTTTACCCTGTGAATATCCTAGTGCTTTTATATCAGTCTCACATCCTCAACACGCTGGTTTCCATAAAAATGCAACCAAGTCAGATGGCTGTGATCTGGTGGGATTCTAGTTCCATTTGCAGCCTCCAAAGCAGTCTTTTACCTAAGAACACTCAGGCCTCCAAGGTTAAGATAACAGTATACTCCAATGCAAAATTCTCTACCTCCCTACTTCAGGTCCCAGGGACTCTCAACTGCCAGTCACTCTTTGAACAATAAGAACAGACACTTAAATGATGATAACTAATGGCAGCAGCACTAATGTAAGAACGCTGGAACTATTAGTACTCTCATCTTCCAGATGAGAGAACTCAATAACATGATTTACATAAACTGCCTGAAGATACAGTAGAATAATAATAATGAAATCCAGGCATTGTGGACCTGAATGCTGCTACCTAGCTACTCCTCTTTGTGGCTTCTCCATTGTCTTTTCCTGCCAGTTCAGTTCTAACAGGAATAAACAGACGCTATTCAAAAGCTTTTCAAGTCTGAATGAAGATGTACCTAGGGTTGGTGTTGATGAACTTTCCCTCACTCTTCCTTAAGGAAATTTGTTCTTTCCTGCCATTTGAGAGACATGTTCTTCCTCTTCTTCTTCAAAGAGCTAAAATGCACCTTTATTTGCATAATGAAGATAGTGCAGTGAAGTACTTTCTTGCATTGTCAAGGAAATGAGCTCCAAAGGAACTTCCTTTTAGCATAGAGAAAGCTGCTGTTTTTATTTACTTGCATTTTGCATATGAATATATTTTAATTTAGTTTCAACAGGTAACTGAATTAGAAAGTGAAATTATAAAGTCATTTCTCCAAGAAAGAAGGTAGAGCTTATAAATATTAGTAATCTTAGCTGGGCACGATGACTTATGCCTGTAATCCCAGCACTTTGGGAGGCTGATGCGGGCCAATCACCTGAGGTCAGGAGTTTGTGACCAGCCTGGCCAATATGGTGAAACCCTGTCTCTACTAAAAGTACAAAAATTAGTCTCTACTAAAAATACAAAAATTAGCCATATGTGGTGGCACATGCCTGTAATCCCAATTACTTGGGAGGGTGAGGCAGAAATTGCAGTGAGCTGAGACTGCACCACTGCACTCCAGCTTGGTGAACAGAGTGAGACTCCGCCTAAAAATAAATAAATAAATAAATAAATAAATATTAATAATCTTTTTAAGAAATGATTGTGGCTATTTCTAGGTCTAATGATACTTGCTTAATCGTACTGAAAACAATGTTATTTCTTTGAATGGCAATGGAATGTAAAATATTTAAAAACGCAATTTGACTTTTTTTACTTTTTAAAATTTATGTAGCTGGGCCGGGCACCCTGGCTCATGCCTGTAATCCCAGCACTTTGGGAGGCTGAGACTGGAGGATCACAAGGTCAGGAGATCGAGACCATCCTAGCTAACACGGTGAAACCCCGTCTCTACTAAAAACACAAAAAAATTAGCTGGGCGTGGTGGTGGGCACCTGTAGTACCAGCTACTCGGGAGGCTGAGGCAGGAGAATGGCATGAACCTGGGAGGTGGAGCTTGCAGTGAGTTTGAGATTGCTCCACTGCACTCCAGCCTGGGTGACAGAGCGACACTCTGTCTCAAAATAATAATAATAATAATAATAATAATAATAATAATAATAATAATAAATAAATAAAATAAAATTTATGTAGCTGATATATTACTATAACCTCACTTGCATTTTTAAATTATTTTACTGGTTCTCTCTTTTTACTTTTATCTTACCTATGCTGTATTTTAAGTTAGTTTTATATAGACAGAATTTTAAAAATTATTTATTTATGGGGTACAAATGCAATTTGGACAATATTGTTGGCCATGTTTTTTCGTTTTTGATTTTTGTTTTTTTAACTACTCTGCCAATCTATGTTTTTTAGTTGGTTTCTATAGGCCTTTTATGTTTAACAATTTGTATGTTGTGGTTGAAGTCTACCACTTTGTTATTTGTTTCTGTTTCTTATTCCTCTGTGTCTTTTTCTTGCTTTCCAATGGGTTACATAAACATGTTAAGTTTCCATCTTAATTTATTTATAGTGTTTTAAATACAATGTTGCATCACTTAATGACAAAAATTACATTCTGAGAAATGCATTAGGCAATTTCTTCACTGTGTAACATCATATAGTGTATTCTATGTGTAAATAGAGATAGCATAACCTACTACTCACCCTAGGTTATGTGGTACAGCCTATTGATCCTAGGCTACAAACCTAAACAGCATGTTACTGTGCTGAATACTGTAGGCATTTGCAACACAACGGTAAATATTTGTGTATCTAAACATAAAAAAAAGGTACAGTAAAAAATCCAGTCAAAACATCAAAAATGGTATACCTGATTAGGGCACTTACTATAAATGAAGTTTGCAGGGCTAGGAGTTGCTCTGGGAGAGTTAGTAAGTGGTGAGTGAGCGTAAATGCCTAGGGCATCATTGTACAAAACTGTAGACTTTATAAACACTGAATTTATAAAATTTATAAAGAAACTTATTTCTTTCAAAATACATTAAACTTATCCTACAGTAACTTTTTTACTTTATAAACTTTTTAACTTATTTTTAACTTTTTGACTCTTTTGTAACAACACTTAGCTTAAAACGCATATTGTACACAGAAATACTTTATTTCCTTATATCCTTATTCTCTAAGATTTTTTTGTAATTTTACATCTTTTAATTTTTAATTTTTTTGTTGTTGTTGTTAAAAACAAAGACACAAATGCACATACTAGCGTAGGCCTACACAGGGTCAGTATGATCAACATCACTGTTTTCTACCTCCAGATCTTGTCCCACTGGAAGCTCCTCTAGGCCAATAATGCATATGGATCTGTCGACATCTATGATAACAATGCCCTCTGAAATGCCTCGTGAAGGACCACTGTGAGGCTGTTTTACAGTTGCCTATTACTTTTTTTTTTGTTTGTTTTTGAGACAGAGTCTCGCTCTGTCGCCCAGGCTGGAGTGCAGTGGCGTGATCTCGGCTCACTGCAAGCTCCGCCTCCTGGGTTCACGCCATTCTCCTGCCTCAGCCTCCCGAATAGCTGGGAATATAGGCGCCCCCCACCAGGCCTGGCTAATTTTTTGTATTTTTAGTAGAGATGGGGTTTCACCATGTTAGCCAGGATGGTCTCCATCTCCTGACCTCGTGATCTGCCCGCCTCGGGCCTATTTCTTTTAATAAGTAGAAGGTGTACACTACAATAACAATAAAAAATATGGTGTAGTAAATACACAAAAATGTAATATATTTGTTTATTATTATTACTAAGTAAAATGTACTTGTATTAGTCCATTCTCACACTACTATAAAGACACTACCCGAGATTGGGTAATTCATAAAGGAAAGAGGTTTAATTGAGTCACAGTTCTGCATGGCTGAGGAGGCCTCATGGAACTTACAATCATGGTGAAATGGGAAGCAGTCATCTTCTTCACAAGACAACAGGAGAGAGAAGGATTGTGTGTAGGAGGAGCTGTGAAACACTTAACAAAACCATCAGATCTCCTGAGAACTCACTCACTATCGTAAGAACAGTATGGCGGAAACCGCCCACATGATCCAATCACCTTCCACCAGATCCTGCCCTCAACACATGGGTATTATGAAGATTACAATTCAAGATGAGATTTGGGTGGGGATATAGAGCCAAACCATATCATTCCACCCCTGGCCCCTCCCAGATCTCACATATTTTTTACATTTCCAACCCAACATCATGCCTTCCTAACAGTCCCCCAGAGTCTTAAATCATTTCAGCAGTAACTCAACAGCCCACAGTTCAAAGTCTCATCTGAGACAAGGCAAGACGTTTTGGCCTATAAGCCTGTAAAATCAAAAGCAAGTTAGTTACTTCCTAGATACCATGAGGGTACAAGAATTGGATAAATGCTCCCATTCCAAATGGGAGAAATTAGTCAAAACAAAGGGGATGCAGGCCCCATGAAAGTCTGAAACCCAGCAGGGCAGTCATTAAAACTTAAAGCTTTAAAATAATCTCCTTGTCTCCATGTTTCACATCCAGGGCATGTTAATGCAAGGGGTGGGCTCCCATGGCCTTGGGCAGTTCCTTCACAGGCTGGCATTGAGTGTCTGTGGCTTTTCCAGGTGCACAGTACAAGCTGTTGGTGGATCTTCCATTCAGGGGTCTGGAGAACAGTGGCCCTCTTCTCATAGCTTCACTAGGCAGTGCCCCAGTGGGGACTCTGTGTGGGAGCTTCAACCCCACATTTCCCTTCTGCACTACCCTAGCAGAGGTTCTCCATGATGGCTCCACCCCTGCAACCAATCTCGGCCTGGACATCCAGGCATTTCCATACAACCTATGAAATCTAGGCAGAGGTTTCCACACCTGAATTCTTGACTTCTGTGTACCCTCAGGCCCAACACCATATGGAATCCTCCAAGGCTTGGGGCTTGCACCCTCTGAATCAACAGATGAGCTGTACATTGGCTCCTTTTAGCCACGGCTGGAGCTGGAGTAGCAGCAGCTGGGACACAGGGCACCGAGTCCTGAGGTTGCCCAGAGCAACGGGGCCCTAGGCCCAGCCCATGAAACCATTTTTCCCTCAGAGGCTGCTGGGTCTGTGATGAGAAGGGCTGCCATGGAAGTCTCTGATACGCCCAAGAAAAATTTTACCATTGTTTTGGCTACTGTAATAACATTTGGCTTCTTGTTATTTAGGCAAATTTCTGTAGCCAGCTTGAATTCCTCCCCTGAAAAATGGGTTTTTCTTTTCTACTGCATGGTCAGGCTGCAAATTTTCCAAACTTTTATGCCCTGCTTCCATTTTAAACATAAGTTCCAATTTGAGATAATGTTTCTCAAATTAAAAGTTCCACAGATCTCTAGGACAGGGGCAAAATGCTTCCAGTCTCTTTGCTAAGGCAGAGTAACAGTGATCTTTGGGCTCTAGTTCCTAATGAGTTCTTGTCCATCCAAGACCACCTCAGCTTGGACTTCACTGTCTATATCACTATCAGCATTTTGGTCAAAACCATTCCACAGGTCCCTAGGAAGTTTCAAACTTTCTCACAACTTCCTGTCTTCTTCTGAGCCCTCCAAACACTTCCAACCTCTGCCCGATACCCAGTTCTAAAGTCACTTCCTCATTTTCAGTATCTTTATAGCAGTGCCCCACTCCCAGTACCAATTTACTCTATTAGTCTGTTCTCACACTGCTATAAAGATACTACCCAAGACAGGGTAATTTATAAAGGAAAGAGGGTTAATTGACTCATAGTTCTGCATGGCTGGAGAGGCCTCAGAAAACTTACAATCATGGTGGAATAAAAGCAGTTGGCTTCTTCAAAAGGCAACAGGAGAGAATGAGTGTGTCTAGGAGAAATTTTCAAACACTTTTAAAACCATCGGATCTCATGAAAACTTACTCACTATCATGAGAACAGCATGAGGGAAACTGCCTCCAGGATCCAATCACTTCCCACCGGGTCTTGCCCTTGACACGGGAGGATCATGAGGATTACAATTCAAGATGAGATTTGGGTGGGGACACAGCCAAACAATATCAGTACTAGACAGAATTTTATGTGCTACACTTTTATATAACTGGCAATGAAGTAGGTTTGTTTACACCATCATTGCCACAAACAGGTGAGAAATATGTTAGACTATGATGTTAAGACAGCTCAGCTGCAATGTCACTAGGTAATATTCATCTCCATTATAATCTTATGGGACCACCATGATATATGCAGTCTACTGCTGAGCAAAACATCGTTATGCAGTGCATGATTGTACATGATTTTGTTTGGTTTTATTAATTGCACTGGTTAAAATAATATATGTGTAATGTCAAGATCTACTGTTAATGATGTTTTACCTCTTTGAGTGAAGTGTAGAAAACTTGTTTCCATATGAGTCTCTTTACTATCACTACTTTTTAGATATAATTATCTTAAATACTTCCTCTATGTTCCTTGAGCATCTAACCAGATAGGTCATTAATTTTTGCTTCAACTATTAGAAATGGCTTAAAAACTTAAGAGAAGTTTGATTATACATTATATTTATGCTTAATTTTACCCATTTAGATGGATGTTTGTAAAAGCTGCAAACCTTCTTCTTTTATCATTTCTTTTCTGTTTAGAGAACTTATTCTTTAAAGGTAAGTTTGTTAGCAACACATTACCTTAGCATTCTTTCATTAGACAATGTTTTCTATGTCACTTTAGTGCCTGAAGAATATTATTGCTGGGTATTGAATTTACAGTTCACAGTTCTGTTCTTTCAGTACTTCAAAAATATTATCTGTTTCCTTCCAACCTTCATGGTTTCAGATGGAAAATCTGCTGTGGTTTACATTATTGTTTTTCTGTAAGAAATGTGCCATTTTTCTCTGTTTGCTTTCAAGATTTTTAATTTTTTTTTTTCATTTCCAGAAATTGAATGTATTTGGGTGTATTCTATTTAGGGTTTGCTCTGTTTCTTGAATATTTAGGTTTATGTCTTCCATCTAATTTGGGAAGGTTGAAGTCATTATTTTTTAATAGTTTTTTAGTCCCACATTCTATCTCCTCGTCTTCTATATCTCCTGTGATTATGAATGTTAGCTCTTTTATTATTGTTCTAAAGTTTCCTGAAATGCTGTTAAATTTTTTTTTTATCGGTTTTCTTCTTCTTGTTCAGACAGTAAATTCTGTTGGCATGTTTTCAGATTCACTGATTCCATCTTCTGCTCTGTGCTCTCTTCTTTTGTGACCATCCTCTGCATCTATTATTTCCATTATTGTATTTTAATTTTATTTAGTTCATGTTTACTTTTTATAACTTATAAGTCATTATTGAATTTATTTTTAATTTTAACTTTTATTTGTTCCAAGAGAATACAATATATAATTGCTTATTTAAACACTTTTATGATGGTTTCTTCAAAATCCTTGTTAGATAATTCCAACCTCTTTTTTTTTTTTTTTTTTTTTGTCTGAAACAGTCTCACTCTGTTACCCAGGCTGGAGTGCAGCGGTATGATCTTGGCTCACTGCAACCTCCATCTCCCAGGTTCAAGTGATTCTCCTGCCTCAGCCTCCCAAGTAGCTGGGATTACAGGCATGTGCCAATGCACCCAGCTAACTTTTTATATTTTTAGTAGAGGCGGGGTTTCACCATGTTGGACAGGCTGGTCTTGAACTCCTGACCTCAAGTGATCCACCCATCTTGGCCTCCCACAGTGCTGGGATTACAGGTGTGAGCCACTGCGCCCAGCCCCAACCCCTTTTTTATGTCTGTGTTGGTGTCTGTTGTCTTTCTCTCATTCAGGTTATGATTTCCTAGTTCTTTTGTCTTATAAGTGATTTTTATTGTGTCCTGAATTTTTTTTTATATTATGAGAATTTTTCTCTCTTATTATTTCGTAGATGGTTCCCTATTGATGTGTAACCTGAGAGCTGGGTGGGTGTGCGTGTTTATCTTCCTGATGGGACCTACTAATACCATCCTACCAAAAGTAGAGTACTAACTTATACTTCCTTCTTGCAGACTGGTTAGGTGGAAGTTTGTCTTCTCCCTCCACCCACTGGCAACCTCATGGCAAAAGTAGGGTACTGAGTTACATATCTTTGTTTCCTCCAAGTGAAAAAATAACCTCACTTCCCTGATGTGGTCCACTGACACCAGGGAGGGGGTGAGTAGGGGCCAACTCATACCACTTGGTTGCTTCCAAGGAGTAGGAGTGGGGAGAAGCTGTGTAAGAACAGAACTGATCATTAAAGACCCTATTATAAATTCTTGCTTTTATAGTACTTATTCTCGTGGCTTAAATATTCCACACCAATTAATCACCACGGAATATATGAGACATTATATTAATTATTAAATTTTACATGGCAACACTAACAATATTAACTCCCATTTTCTATCTCTTTAATTGAGGTCATTCTTTAGAAGTTTAAGTATAATCCATTCTTCTGTCCTACACGACTGAGTGAAAGAGCATGTAGCAGCAACATATAGTACCAGTATGTAATCCTAATGCAATGGCACACCCCAGATGACCCTTTTGTGTATTGGGATTGACCATGGTTTTTCAGTTTAATCAAAGTTTAATTGATTAAACTCGGGGTTCACATTTTCTTTCTACACACCAATATTGAAGAGAAGTACTACAAAATACATAGGAGCACTAAACTGGTAGTAATAAGAAAAACATAAAATATTTAAGATAATGTGTTGCTTTTATTTCTAATATTAGCTACTGATACAATCAAAGCACTGCGGCTCAGTTTTCTCTTTTGTAAGAGGACAAGTTTGTATTAGTTAATCTTTAAATGTCTCTACAATCTGATTCTGAGATTGTGAATAAATAGATCTAAATACTGTTATAGGTATATAAATACAGATATAAATGCAGGTATGGGTAAAATTATGGCTATGGGTCCCAGCCTTAAATTCTTATTTTTTTATAACTAATTGATGTTCAGGGATAGATTTATGTGATCTGCTCATTTGCAGGGGCCCATCACTTGGCTAATTCTTTGGTGTCATTCGTGTCAAGTTTTAAATAATTTTTGAGGAAGATGTCCTATATTTTAATTTTGCACTGAACACTGCAAATTTTGTAGCTGTTCCTGTTAATTTGTTAATGAAATTTCTCTTTAGAAACTATTAAATTAATAAGACAATAATTAAGCAAATAATTATTAAATTTTACATGGTAACACTAGCAATATTAACTCCCATTTTCTATCACTTTAATTCAGGCCATCCTTTAGAGGTTTAAGTATAATCCATTCTTATGTCCTACACAACTGAGTGTGTAGTACCAGTACGTAATCCTAATGTAATGGCACACCCCAGATGACCTTTTTGTGTGTTGGCATGGTTTTTCAGTTTAAGCAAAAGTTTAATTGATTGAAACTTGAAGTTCACATTTTTTTTTCTACACACCAATATTGAAGAGAAGTCCTACAAAATACTTATTCTATGGAAAAAAACAAAGTCCACTTTAGATCTAAAATGGTTGCATAAAATTTTGAGAATAACTTAAATGTTATATGAATGTAAGTAAAAATTTTACTGTAAACTTTGTAAATGCTAACTATAAACAGAAAACAAGTATATCTTATATAAAGAAATGTGTAGACTCTCTGTATTAATCCATTTTCACATTGCTATAAAGAATACCCGAGACAGGGTAATTTACAAAGGAAAGAGGCTTAATTGACTCACAGTTCTGCACGGCTGGGGAGGCCTCAGGGAACTTACAATCATGGTGGAAGGGGAAGCAGGCACGTCTTACATGGCAGCAGGGGAGAGAGAGCATGTGAAGGAGGCACTGTCAAACACTTGTAAAACCATCAGATCTCATGAGAACTCATTCACTATCATGAGAACATCTAGGGGAAACTGTGCCCATGATCCAATCACCTCCCAACAGGCCCCTCAACACATGGGCATTATGGGAATTACGATTCAAGATGAGATTTGGGTGACAGCACAGAGCCAAACCATATCACTCTCTGTGCCTTGTATTTCTCATACTAGTCAATGCCAACTCATTAAAATTATCTGGAGATATAACATTTTTGGGGGATTATATATTGCCACTACTGTTATATTTTTGTCAGGATAATGTAGCAATTCCCAAATAAGTCATACTTAAACCTCCACAGAAAAGATAAATAGAAATGAGAATTCCATTGCCAGCATTGCTTTGAAAAACGTTTCAGAACTTTGAATATATATACTCATAAACACACACACATACACAGATATATATTTCTGCATGTGTATATACATATATGGATACATATGTTCTTAAACTTTCTTTTAACAGAAAAATTAAAATAGAAGGAAAATAATAGAGCACTAGTTATATAACTAGTATTATATAAATAATGTTATGTAACTAGTTATATAATTAAAAATATAAGAACCTAGGTGAGAATGAGAAAGTCTAGATTTAGATTTACTACTTTTCCTAATACACACCCACACACATATATGTGTGTGTGTGTGTGTGTGTGTGTGTGTGTGTGTATACTGTATTTGTCTCATAGTGGCTGGAGCACATTACTACCAACTTAGTGGATTAAAACACCACAAATCTACTATCTTACAGTTCTGCAAGTAAAGACTAAAATAGAGTCACATAGGTGAAAATCAAGAGCTTCTACTCTCTTGAGGCTGCTTGGATTCTTGGCTATAACCCCTTTCTCCATCTTGAAATTCTGTCACTCCAACCTCTGCTTTCATAACACATCTCCCATCTCCTTCCTAACTCGAAGGCATCTTCTCAGTCTTACAAGAACTCCACTTGGGTTCACATTTGGAACACCCAAATAACCCATCTTAATATTCTCATCTCTAGATCCTTAAATAATTGCTTCTACAATGTCCTTTTTGTCATGGAAGGTGACATTTTCACAGGTTCCAGAAATTAGGACGTCGACATTTTAGTAAGCCATTATTCTGTCTACCACAGTGGCCTTGAATAGAAATCCTTCAGTTTTCATATACAGAAACAAAACATTCTTCCAAATGAGGAAGCTAGATTGGGAAAAAAAAAAGTCAGCCACACAGGTCTCCCCATTAAAACTTAAAGATGGTTACATATTTTATTCTGAGTTAAAATGGAGAGTCTTCCTATATAACTCTCTTTCCACTGTATGATTTATCACTTAATAGCTCTCCCTTTCCGTTGTATGATTTGTCACTTAATATCTCTCTCTTACTTGAAGTCAGAGAACAGCAAACAGTTTGCAAAATATATAAATAGTCTATAAGTTGTGGTCCAAATAGTTCTTAGAATTCAGCTACATCTAAGTACACAATTACTTATTTAAGCTTGATTCAGTGAAACAGATTTTCAGTTGAGTTTCTTAATGGGAATGACCAGTCACATTTTTCAAATTTGGCTTTATGCATAAATTGACAAATTATTTATAATTTGAAACATCTGGGCTCATTTTTTAAAAACAACTCATAAAATAAGAAATCATTTTATTGGTTCAAGCACGCATGCTATTAAATGACTCATCTTAATTTTTATCTTTTCATAAATGTTGAAAAATCTCAAGAAACCGTTATGTTGTCCTAAAAATGGGCAAGCAAGGTTAATTTGTTTTTGATGTTTAGATAGTTAGGTTATTTCTCATTTTTCTTTTAGGGATTACGTTGCTATCCTAAAGCTTGACATTGGTTAGAGTCAGCCAATGTCAAATTTTTACCTATAGATAGTCTTAGAAAGATATTGCAAATTAGTGCTGCTTCTAGTAGCTAAAATAACCTGCAGCTAGCTGGCAGGCAGCAGTGAATATTTTAAAAGGTGTACCAAATTACATTTAGATTTTCAGTTCCTTTTGAAGTGAAAAGAATATTCAAAGCTTGGAAGTCTTTGACTCTCATAAGCCTAGTAGATTTCAAGTATAAACATAGATTTAAAGATAGTTTACAGACAAATTGTGGATTTTATGTTATAATCTCAGATTAATGATTTTTTCCTTTTTGTGATTTTTTTCCCAAAGTAATTGTAAAGGACTGTGTGTGTGTGTGTGAGAGAGAGAGAGAGAAACAGAGAGAAAGAAACAGAGATAGAGACATTGTCCAAATGTACACGTAAGATTTTCTGTGACAATTACACATGGATTATCTAGTAACAAGTTGAACTACATGAAGCAATTGTATATCATCAGATATATACTATATGAAACAACTGTGTATAATCAGATTTATACTACATGAAGCAACTATATATAATCAGATTTACACCACTTTCTGAAGAAAACTACAATTAATTGGATACTAAAGTGGTTTCTGAAAGCCTAATTATTCTCAAGTCCATATGTGTGTTTGGTGGGATGGCAGTGAGTTTTTGGAACAAGCTTAACTGTTTTTTGAAATAGTTGTGAACTTCACAAGTTAGATGAAATACATGTCACAAGAAATTTTCCATGTGGAGACAATTTAGTAGTATTTCCACATTTATGTTCAATAAGTGTAAATTATAAAATGATATTTTTGCTCAAAAATAAATGAAAATAACACATTTGAAACAAAAGTAGACTCACCCACCCTCCAGAATGATATCCAAAGACCAAAGGAAGTTTGGCCTTTTTTAGGCATTTGAGACTTGCTTTCAGTAAATCATATCATCATATTTATTTCTATAACTTTTCTTTTTTTTTGAGATGGAGTCTCGCTTTGTCACCCAGGCTGGAGGGCAATGGCGTGATCTTGGCTCAGTGCAGCTTCCGCCTCCTGGGCTCAAGTGATTTTCCCACCTCAGCCTCCCCAGTAGCTGGGATTACAGACGTGAGCCACTATGCCTGTTTATTTATTTATTTATTTTTTAAGTAGAGATGGAGTTTCACCATGTTGGCCAGGCTGGTCTAAAACTCCTGACTTCAAGTGATCCACCCACCTTGGCCTCCCAAAGTGCTGGGATTACAGGCGTGAGCCACTGGGCCCGACCTCTGTAACTTTTTATGTTACTGTTTATCATGAGTACGCACAAAAAACCACTTTTTGAATATCTTTTTCTCAGATATTTAATTATTAAGAACAAGGCAAAAATGTGTATACATTAGGTAAAAACTGCGAAAGCATGTCCAAAGAAGAAATAAAGTTCTGTAAATACTCAGAATCAACAGTTGAATAGGTATTCAGGTTTTCAGAGTTAAAAGCACAAATGCATATTTTAGTCTCTTTTCATTTTATTTTAAATATGACTATCCATAGAATGACTATTGCACAGTTTCATATAACTCCCTTATTTGTGTATTTAGTAACTGAGATTCATTATTTTTTAATTAGTACCTAAATAATTACTAGTAATCTGAAACTAATTTTCTTTTATGAGGGCAAAATGCTTTTTCTTTTAATAGGAAAAACCAAAAAGGAAGTTAGTTTAAGTATTTTTTAAATAAAAGAAATTGACAAAATAAAAAGCATGTTAAATTTAATTGTAACCCTGATGTATGTAAAACCTTTATTAAAAATATTTTTCCAAAGTTCTTATTAAGCTTTAATTAGCTATTTGTATATATTACCTTACTGGCATTTTAAAAGTATAATTATTACATATTGTGTGGAAAGATTTAAACATTCAGAAAATATAAAACTCAGTGCAACTATTTTTTCCTACTCTTCATGTATTATAATTCAGTCTTTTTGATAATTTTATATATATAGAAGGTATGATATTTATATTACATTTAAAATTTAGTACAACTTTTATTAAAGTGTACATATTATTTATACAATGCTTTTTTCTTTTCTATATCTATACAGCTTACCCATTTTTGAGAAGGCTGCATTTTTTTCTATAACATGTATATGTTGTACTTTACTTGTCTATATCCCCATTAAGAGATATGTTGCTTCCAGGTTTCATTATTATAAATACTGTTTCAGTGAACAGCTTTCAATATACATCTTTGTGCCCATGTGACAATAAAAGTATTTTTGTATGCATCTGCAAGTATAATAGTTATAGTGTCCATGCATTTTCAATTGGGTAGTTGTTTCAAAATAGCCCTACATTTTTCAAATAATTCTAATTCAAAGGACTGCTCCCCTTTCAAACCTGGTAAATATTGAAGTCCTTAATGCTTTTGCCAGAATTAGGCTGAATTGACAGAGCACTGATATGTAGAAGATATATATATATATATATATATATACATGTATATTATATATATAATATATTATAAATATAATATATATATATAAAATTCTTAAAATTTAGCAAGTAACTGAACAACAAAAATGACAGATAAAAGAAGCAGGTCATGCATAGCCTATCTGCCTGAGATTTATTTAACCCTTCTTCAGAAGAGGCTTTGATTCTTGTCTCTCTGTGTCTACCTATAGACAGCATTTCTCCCAGGAAGCTTGCCCTGACCTCCTAGAATTGGTTATGTACCATTTATATATTTTTCATATTCCACTGTACATAACTCATAACAGAAATTATCACAAGGGAACAGCTGTGGTTTTATTGTTATGTCTAGCTATCCAGCTATCATCTTCACCAGACTGTAAGCTCCTTGAAGGCAGAAGCCAGATTTATCTTCATGACCTCTGTGTTTTAGATGAGGTCTCAGAGATAGAGGTCAGAATTTTCCCTCTAGGTAAATTAATTAGATTAACCTCAACTTATACAAAACAGTAGTCATTAAATTTATCCCCAGCCATCAGGAGCTTAACTACTCTGGAGAGAGAGCCAGGTGTTGGAGTAGGCAATTAAGACATCAAGACAAAAGGACATTAACAAACCTTTGAGGTTAAACTGGAAAAAGCCCTGACGGTCCAGTCCCCATCCTTTTTTTCCTTCATGAAACAGCTCTATCAAGGATCACATGGGTCAGCACAGATGTGGAGTTGTCTCACTATCAAAGGAACCCTGAACAACAGGCTCCTGCCTGCAGTTTTATGGAAGGTCAGGAAAAGGCTGGGAGCGGAAAAGCACTGAGTATTGAATCAGAAGGAAGACAATTGTCTTCAAGACTCCTCCTCCTCTCCCCATGAAAAGGAGGTCTTGGGCAAACATGCCTGGGGAAGGTCTGCCAAGGTCCCACAGTGGAGAGGCCTCCAGGGGAGGCACCAGTCAAGTGATGCTGATCTGTGTGTGAGCATGGCCCTGCAGCCCTTACTGAAACTGCCATTAGAGGACTATGCACTAGTGTGGGGAGGGCAGCTCTCCCTGTGGGACCCACTTGGTCAAGTCTTTGTCATTGTTTATGGATGGGCCCAAAAATCACATATAGGATTGAGTCTGGGGCTGAACTCTTTACTGCTCTGTCTGTATTCCCTGTCTTGGTTGACACCTAATACATGACTAAGAAACTAAGAAATCATTTTAGACGTCGTTTTTGTGTCTGTGTTTTATGCTTTGTTGGCTTGAAAACTTCATCCAATAAAACTTTAGTTATTTTTATTACCATTTCTTCCTTTATGACCCCACAGCATCCTCCATGTGCCAGGGTCCAAATCATCTTTAACCCGGACTATTCTATCAGTACCCAAATATATTCTTTCATCAAAATATATTCTTTCTCTTCTCTGGCTGTAATCTCATTCATTTCCAGGCTACTTCTTTTCAAACTAAAAAGCAAATATAATCACACTATTCTCTTTCTTCAAACACTTTCCCAATTCCTAGAGTAAAATCCCCCTTTTATAACATATAAGGCCTCAGTGACCTACCCTCAGGACTTCTTTAATTATTCTCCCATATTGTCCTATTATGTACCTGTTCCATCATCCTTACAACCCTCAGAACTCCCTAATCTGTTTTAATGCCACATTGTTATGCTCTTAATTTCCTTTGATAAAATGATTCTTTCCATTCATAAACTAGTTGATTACCACAATTTCTTAAGTATTCTATTGAAGTTTATCTTATTAGTCCATTTCACACTGCTATAAAGATACTACCTGAGAATGGATAATTTATAAACAAAAGAGGCTTACTTGACTCACAATTCCACATGGCTGAACTTATAAGTGAACTTATAATTAAACTTATAATCATGGTGGAAGGTGAAGGGAAAGCAAGGCAAGTCTTACACTGTGGCAGGTAAGAGAGAGAGCATGCAGGGGAAACTGCCACTTATAAAACCATCAGATCTCCTGAGAACCCCCTCACTATCACAAGAACAGCATAGAAAACCACCCTTTTGAGCTAATCACCTCCCACCAGGTCCCTCCCCATGACACATGGGGATTACAATTCGAGTTGAGATTTGGGTGGGGACACAGAGCCAAATCATAACATGTATCTTCTTTGCCAAGATTTTCCTTACAACGCAAAGTAGATTGACATATTTTAATTTCTTCCATCCCACCCCACCATAATATTCTTACCTCTATGACAGTGCTCATCAAAATTTGTAGCTATTATTTGTTTAAATGACTTCATTATGCTTCTTAAGAGGCATAAACTTTCTGCTATATTCATCTTTGTATGCCTGTCACACATTACATTGGCTGAGACAAGGTAAATATTTAATACATATCTATTAAATAAGAAACTTAAAAAAATAAAAGAGTGAATGAATAACTGTATCTAGGAAGTATGAAAGTGACTTATCTTTTAGCATTTTTCATCAAGGAATTAAGAAATGTGTGGGGAAAAAGTTAAGAGGCCCCAGTTAAAATGGCTTTTATCCCAAATTCAGGCAATAACAAAAGTTGGCGAGGATATACAGAAAAAGGAACCCTTGCACACTGTCAGTGGGAATGTACATTAGTATGACCCTTAAGGAGAACAGTCTGGAGGTTTCTCAAAAAGCAAAAATTGAGCTATCATATGATCCAGCAATCCCACTCCTGGGTGTATAACCAAAAGAAAGGACATAGTATATCAGAGAGATATCTGCACTCCATGTTTATTTCAGCACTACTCACAATAGCCAAAATTTGGAATCAACCTAAGTATCCATCAAGAGATGAATGAATAAAGAAAATATAGTACATATACAAAATGGAATACCATTCAGCCATAAAAAACAATGAGTTCCTGTCATCTGCTACAATGTGGATAGAACTGGAGGTCATTATGTTAAGTGAAACAAGCCAGGCGCAGAAAGACAAACTTCGGATGCTCTCACTTATTTGTGGGAGCTAAGGCTTAAAACAATTGAACTCATGGAGATAAACAGTATAAAGGTTAACAGGCTGAGAAGGGTAGTGAGGGTTTGGGAGGAAAGCGGGGCAGACTAATAGGTACAAAAACATAGTTAGAAAGAATGAATAAGACCTAGCATTTGCTAGCACAACAGGGTGACTATAGTCAAAAATAATTTAATCGTACATTTAAAAATAACTAGAAGAGTATAATCAGATTGTTTGTAACACAAAGGATAACTGTGTGAAGTGATGGATATTCAATTTACCCTGATGTGATTATTATGCATGTATCAAAACATCTCATGTACTCCATAAATTTTCAAAAGAAGTATGTATAGCATAACGCTTAAAATAATATACTGTAATAGTCTACAACTTGGCAAGAAATTAAGCTTTCGTTTATTTTTGTCACAACAGGTATACTACATGCAGATTAAAATATATATTTTATATATATATATATATATATATATATATATATACCATCTATTTTTTAAGGGCATTTTTCATAACCTTGAAATATAAACAATAAAAATTATGAAGCAATAATTTATTTTTTTAAAAAAATCCACTTGCCAAACAAACAAGATACTCCTTCCAGGATGTCAGTAATATCAAGATAAAATGCCAGAGAATTTTAGCTCAGTATAGGAAATCAAACAGCTAATTTTTAACTTTGATGGAGGAGAAAATTAGATAAATTCTGAAAATTCATCCATTTATTTTTCTCTCTCCATATATGTTAACAACAAGCAAACACATTAAATCCTTAAATTTGGTTACTAAGTTCACAAATGTCATGGACACAGTGAGGTAATATTTACAGACTGAATACTGATTTACTATCCTTTGAGTTTATTTCTACATTTCATAGAGTAGATGCTCTTTATAGATAAACTCTTTTGGAAAAAGTCCAGATAACTGGATAATTAACTATTAATATCACTTTTTGAAAATTAAATAGTAATATGTTTCTTCCAGGAAAAATTATTTAACAGGTTTTATTCAGACTACTAAGACATATGAAAACCTGACATTAACTCTTTGGTTTTCTAAAGATTCTCTTCAGGAAAATATGCCATCAGTCTTTCTAAATGTATTCAATTTTATCTCAGCAGTCTTGAGCCTCCATCTACATGATGTTAATATACCTCCAAACAGCCATTCACATTTCTTAAGGTGATGAAATATGTATTACCTATAATATTCTTAACTAAGTTATTGTAAGGCATATTTATCATGCCACATAATCCTGGGCGAAAATTGGATATAATAACAATTCCCAAAAATGCCTCTTGACAAAGAGTTGGAATTCAACTTTTTTCTTCTACTGCTAAGGATGTTTGCATCATGTCTTTGGAAAAATGTATCTCATAATTGCAAAGCCCTAATTCCTGATGCTCCATTAACAATATTACTCAAGATATTGTTGCTGATGTGGCTGCTTATATTATTCCCAAGTGAATTTGTAGATATTTAGCAATAGCTGAGGCCATCTACAACGTAAATTCCTATCTATGTTACTCCTCTTGAGAATCTACTCTTGGTACATTTAGCAAAGGAAGACACTTTTAGCAACACAGCAGTCCCCCCTTACCAGCGGTTTCACTTTCCCCAGTTTTAGCTATCAGGGGTCAATCATGTTTTGAAAAATATTAAATAAAAGTTATAGAAATAATAACTTTGAAATTGTGTACCATAACGTGATAAATTCTCAGGTTGTCCATCCTACTCCCTGTTTTCTTTATCACAAAAAGAAAAGTAGATAATAATAAGGTATTTCAAGAGAAAGAGAGACCACATTCACATAACTTTTACTACAGTATATTGTTATAATAATTCTATTATTAGTTATGTTCATATAATTATTAGTAAAAGGAATATAATTATATTCCTATATAATTATAGAAGTATACTACTCCTATACATAATATATTAGTATAACTAATATAATTCTATTATCATTAGTAGTGTTAGTTTAACTAATAAACTAATAGAATTATTAAACTAATATAATTAGCCTATTAGTTTAATACTACTCCCATAATGAGTATATTAGTTTAAACAAATACTACTACTATAATAATTAGTAGTAGTTTAACTAATAAACTACTATAATTATTAGTTAAATTTCACTATGCCTAATTTTTAAATTACAGTCTATTATAAGTATGTATGTGTAGGAAAAATAGTACATGTTTACTATCCACTGTTTCAGGCATCAACTGGGGGTCTTAATACATATCTTTTTACAGATAAGGGTGGAGCTACAGTTACCTTCCAAAAGGTAGTATTGCCACTGCCATTGTTGCCTGCTAATGTAAATTCCAAAGAAGTAGATGATTTTGGGAAGGGCAGAAAATAAAAATTTTCATCAATATTAATGATTTTGCCATTAATGCAGATTACCATTGCCATAGTCTGAGAAGTGACATGAAACTTGAGATTGCTAGAGCTCATAGGACAGTAGAACAGTGAAGACATTGAGGTTTAAAGTGTTAATGTTATGAAGATAGCTAAAAACAGGACTTGATCAGTATAATCCTCTACCTAACACAACTTGGAATGGGGCAGAGAGTAAAGAAATGGACCTCGGTAAGGACGTGCATGAGCACTAAGAGATAGTGCTTGATGCAAGAGCAATAATAACAACAATAACCACAACAAAGGTATATTATTGGGAGCATTAGAGAAGAACAACAGAAAACTAAAAATGTTGTGGATGTTACCTCCAAGCAAGAAAATGGGACTAGGGACACAGGCCCTTTTTGTTTTTTGCTTGCACATTCTGTAATTAGAAAATGTTATTTTATAGACACACATATCAAATAATAGGAGAAAAAAGATATTTCATGTAAGATTAGTTTATTCTCAATATTCTGAATTAGAATATTGGATTAAAACAATATTTAGAATGATAGAAGCTGGATTAAAACAACTTTAAAACAAGCATTTGTACTGCATTGACATCTCTATACAAGTTGCTGTCATACTAGTTGAGAAGAGCTTGGGGACCTGGACTTGGGAGATTTAATGGACCGATAAAATTACTCAGAGGGGTAACCTTATAAAGAATTCTGAAACCAAGAATTTGGAAGTCTAAGAAAAGAAGGGACAACAATGCAAGTTGTCCAACCAAAACCTCTCTTCCCTACTTTCTTGTTTCTGAATGCCATTTTTGTTTGAAAGAGCAATGTGTCCTGCCAAATAACTACAATGCCCAGTCTCCTTGCCCTTGTGGCTGGTGACATGTTATAGTCCTGTAGAAAGATACGTGGGCTGAAGTTGTTGAAAAGGACACTTTGTTCTTCAACTTCTCCCTTCCTGCCCTGATATAAAAACATGATAACACACTACTTATTACTCTAAATATGCATAACTTTTATATGCACTAGGAAGTGTATATATCAATACTTAGAGATACAATTTCAGAAATGGTCAAATTAAAGAAAACAAGTTAAAAGTTTACAAGTTCTTATAATAATTATAGAGGCAAGATAAATTACAGATTCAATTTTTTAAACTAGTAATTTAATTAATCACATCATGGATAATGTTTAGAGCTAAAATTTATTCTGTATTTACATAATCAATATTGTAATTAAAAACCACTGAGTATTTTTTGTTGCAACTGAATGTTGTGTCCCCTCAAAATTCATGTGATGAAAACTTAACCTTCAGTATGATGGTAGCAGGACCTATAAGCTGCATATTTATAATGAACTTTGGGAAGTAATTAGCTTATTATGGTGGAGGCTTCATAAATTAGATTGGTGCCCTTAAAAATGACTCTTGAGAGCTCTTTCTGTCCACCATGTGAAGCTGCATTGAGAAGGCAGCAGTCTGAAACCCAAGAGAGCTCTCTCACCAGAACCCAATTATGCTGGCACTCTGCTGTTGGACTTCCAGCCTCCAGAACTGTGAGATGTGCATTCCGTTATTTAAAAGCCACTCAGGTTATGGAACTTTATTAAAGCAGCCTGAACGGCTGAAGATGGAAATTGATCATGAGAAGTGGGAGTGCTGTTATTATAAATACCTAAAACAAAGTGAAAATGGTTTTGGGCTCAGTGATTGGCAGAGATTGATGAGGTTTTATGCAAAATGCTAGATTACTGTGGAAGAAATTTAAAAGCCAATTCTCGTGAGGGCTCGGAAAGAAATATAGAAGAAAACGCTGTCTTCTCAGAAAATAATTAAATAATCATGAACAGAATATTGATAAAATATGGACAGTAAAGGTCATTCTGTTGGAGTCTCAAATGGAAATGAAAATGTTATTGGAAAATGGAGCAAAAGCAATCCATGTTGAAAAGTGGAAACAAACTTCTTTGAATTGTATTCATGCTCTTGTGTTTTGCGGAAGGTGGAACTTGTGTGCAGTGAAATTGGACATTTAACCCAGCAGATTTCTCAGCAACATGTAGAAGCAGCAGCTTGGTTCCTTCTGAATCCGTAGAGTCAAATGTAGAAAAAGAAAAAGGTTTGAAGATGGAATTGTTAAGGAAAAAGTAACCATAATTTAAGATCTGGGAAATTCTCAGCCTGTCCATATTGCAAAAAAAGTGAGAAAGTGTGTTCTGAAGAGAACATGAAGAGTGTTTCGGACCCTTACTGATTTGATTAATATGGGTGTGAACCACAGGCTTAATCAAACATCTCAACACAAACCATGACTAGAAATGGGATTATACCAGGAGAAACACTGCCAGTTGGGACTAAAGGAAACAGAGATAATGGGACGAAATAAAGGAAGACATTCGGAATGCTTAAGCCCTACAGGCCCGGACCCGAGAGCTATTCAGTTGTGGATGTGTGCTATTCTCTCCTTCAAAATTACGGAAGAAGGGGCGCAAAGGGGATTTGGAGACAATTACAGCTGCTGCTTTTACCAAAAATCCAGAGGGTATGGCAAGGTGGGCCAAGGTTACCTCCATTTTGATTTCAAAGGACAGAAATGATGCTCAGAGGAGCTGTGTGGGAGGGCCATCCAGTGAAGCCCTGGGTGAGTGACCTCAGCCCTGACAAAAGACTGTGCCATAAGTGGGTCCAGTGCATAGAGTCAGCAGCGAGCAGTGCCTCACTGAGCTGTCGGGGACTGTCTGGAAGGTGAGTCATCAAGCCAAAGAGGATGCTTCTTGAACCTTAGGGTTTGATGGAGTTTGCCCTGTTAGGTTTTAGATTTACTTGGGATCCAGCATTCATATATTTTATTTTTTTCGAATAGTGGTTCTTTTTGGAATGGGAATGTTTATCCTATGCCTGTCTCACCATTGTATTTTGAGAGTTCATGTTGTTTGATTCCACAGGTTCACAGATGAAGAGAAATTTTGTGAGAATGAACTGTACCGTGAAGCTCACCTGCATCTGATTTAGGTAATATTTAAATAAGACCTTGGACTTTAGACTGGACTTGAGGCTGGAATGAGTTAAGATTTGTGGATTTGTTGGAATGGAATGACTGCATTTTGCATGTGAAGACATGAATTTTGGGGAACCTGGGGCAGAATGTTACGGACTGAATTTTTAAAGTGTACCCTCAAAATCTGTATATTGAAATCGTAACTGTCAATGTAATGGTATTAGTAGTGGGACCTTCAGGAGGTAATTAGGTTGTCATAGTAGAGGCCTCATGAATAGGCTTAGTGTTCTTATAAAAGGGACCTAAGAGAGCTCTCACTTCTTTCCCCATGTGCTTATACAAAAACCCAACAGTCTGCAACCGCAAAAGGGCCCTCCCCAAAACCAGAACATCCTGGCACTCTGACTTTGGACTTCCAACCCCTAGAACAGTAAGAAATACTTTTTTTGTTATTTGTAAGCCACTCAATCTATGGTATTTTGTATAGCAGCCCAAACTAAGACACTCCTCTACACTACAGTGTACACCACATTCTTCTGCCTCTTGGTATGCTTCAGTCACATTGAACTATATTTTGTTTACTAAACATGGCAAATTTATTACTGCACTATGGTTTTGCCATATAATTTTTCCTGTCTTTTCAAACAGAAATTATTTCACAGCATACGCAGCTATAGGCAATTATCTAGCTTATGTATAAAATTACTTTCCTGATATTTGTCTCATTTTTTGTTTTTAAATGTTTTAAATAAACAAATAATAATTGTTTTGAGGGGTACAGTATTATGTCTTCGTATATATTTATATTGTGGAATGATTAAATCAAGCTGCTTAACACATCTCTTATGTCACATATTTATCTTTTTGTTGTGAGAACACTGAAAATAGACTTTTTAGCAATCGAAAAAAGGCAAACCCTTAAAAGTAGAGAGTAGAATGCTAGTTAATGCTGGAGGCAAGGGATAGGGAATGGGGAGATGTTGTTCACAGGGTACAGTTTCAGTTAGACACAAAGATTGAGTTTTAGAGATTGACTTTATAGCAGAGTGACTATATTTAAAAATGACTTCTTGTACATTTCAAATTTTCTATTTAAAATACACGTAGTATCTGTATTCCCAGTTCTTAAAACATGACCTATTAAATAACAGATTTGCAAGACTGAATGATTTTTTTTTACCTTGTCCTGATCTCGATTTTTTTTAAACTTTATCTCATTAATTGCTAATTCTCTCTTTATGAATGTTAAATACTTAAAATAGCACCAAACATAACAAAACAAAACAAAAACAAAATTTGTTTTTTATTTCAAATGGCATGTTCCATTGCGTTCTAAGACTGGACTGTCTTGGAGATAAAGGAGACTTCATTATTTTATGTAATATTCCTTTGAGAAATCCTGAGCTTTGTGCAAAAATGACATACTTCATTTTTTTTTTGCATAATTTTGTCACTCCATAGAGCCCAGATCGAGTTCCTAAGTTCTCACTAAGGCACATGGGTCTAATTCCATTACATTTTTGGCCTGTGTCAATTAATTTTCTTTTCTCAGATAATAAATTTACACTCCTATTCCACTTCTGAGCAGTTAGACATTTTCAGCATGGAACATTCTATTAAAATGAAATGGCAAATTGCCTTGTAGCACACACATTTTCAAAGAATGTTTTGTCTGATAATGTAGTTCTTATGAGTTTCTTTCCAAAGTAATCCATTTACACAAAATACATTATTAATTTTGTGCATTTACAAACTACACATAATTTCAAAGTGATGTCATTGTTCCACAAATACATCTAGGTTTCAAAGTGATTGATTAAATTCTGTTTAAAATTTTGCACAGAAGTGCAGTATATAATCACATTTTATATCCCTCTGTGCAGGATATAGTTTTCTAAATCATACTCCGTTGTCAGGAGCATGTTCATCTTCCATACAGAACACACTGACTGAAAATAAGATCAAGTCTACACATTTGGGATATAAATTTTTGAGATTACTGCTCTTGGTATAATATATCTCTCTTGTACTTGAGCCTCTAGATCTTGCTGTTTTTAACACTTTTGTGCTCGCAAGATTTACGCTTCTGTATACTTTGTTTATATTCAGCAGCTAAGTATATTTTGTCCTGTTATCATGACTCAACCTGTGATTTGTTTCAAAAGTACAAGTAAGATTTTAAACATAATTATAGTGTAATCTCTTTAAATTTTGCTGCATTATCACTCAGAATGAGAAAAATATAAATTAAAAGTGTGTGCACATGTATACACATTGTTCAATATACAAACTTAGGTATCATGTTAGATTCATCACGATTTGAAAATGAAATCTGATTATAATACTTGCAAGATGACTTACAAGTTAATATTTATATGTACACTTACAATTTTTATAATTTTTAAAACCATCCAATATGTTAGTTTTCTTTGATTTCTAATGATAACAGTAGAAATATCTGGCCCTGGTTATCACATCTGGTTGTTATGATCAATAGAAACGATATATGCAAAAGCAAATACATTTTAAAACTTTTTAATATTAATTTTTATTGTTACATATTCTGAATAATGCAGTTTTATAGTTATTATTATAACATGACACAAATGGTAGAGATTTTGATGCCTACATTTTTAATAAAAATGTTCAAAACCATATTTCACAAGATGTATCATGCTGTAAGGTTGCAACAGCCCTCTCAAATAGAGTTCTGCCTTTCTCTTGCCATTTAAACTAATGCTATCTGAGAGTGCAACAGAAGGCCCTCATTACATGCTGGTATCTTGATCATTGACTTCCTTGCCTACAGAACTATCAGAAAATAATTTTCTATTTTTTATAAATTACCCAGTCTCAGGTATTTTGTTACAGCAGCACAAAACAGACTAAGACATAAAGTGTAAAATTATCCTTCCATATTGCTGCAAGTGAAATGATGTTATTTTTTATAGCTGTGTAGTATTCATTGTGCGTGTATGTGTGTGTATATATGTATATATGTATATCACATCATTTTCTTTATCCAGTTATTTGTTGATGGACACATGTTGATTCAATATCTTTGGTATTATGAATATTGCTGCTATAAATAAATGAGTGCAAATATCTTTTCTGGTATAATGATATTTTTTCTTTTGGGTATACACCCAGTATAGGATTGATAGAGTGAATTGTGGCTCTTTAATACTTGAAAAAATTTTCATACTGTTTTAATAGAGGTGGGACAAATTTACATTCCTTCTAATTATACTATAAGGCTATAGTAACAAAAACAATATGATAGTGATATAAAAATGGACACAATACTCAATAGAGCAAAATAGAAATTCCAGGAATAAAGTGACAAAGGCACTTTGTCACTTTATTAGTGGATATTTATAAAGGGACCTACCTACAGTCAATGGATGTTTGACAACATTGAAAAAAACATACACTGGGAAAAGGATATCCCCTTCAATAAATAGTGCAGGGAAAATTGGAAAGCCACATGCAGAGGAATAAAACTGGGCCCCTATCTGTTGCCATCCACAAAATTAACTCAGGATGAATTGAAGAATTAAATATAATACCTGAAGATATAAAAGTACTCATAGAATACCTGGAAAAACTCTTCTAGACATTGGCCTTGGCAAAAAATTTGTGACTAAGACCTCAAAAGCAAATTTAGCAAAAACAAAAGTAGACAAATGGGACTTAATTAAACAAGAAAGTTTCTGCACAGCAAAAGAAATAACTGAGAAAACAGATAACCTGAAGAATGTGAGAAAATATTTGCAAACTATGCATCCAACTAAGTACTAATATCCAGAATCGACAAGAAATTCAAACAACTCAACAACAACAACAAAATAGATAACCCCATTAAAAAATGGACAAAGTACATAAACAGGCATTTCTCAAAAGAAGACATACTAGTGGACAGCAAACATATGAAATAATGCTCAGTCTCATCATCAGAGAAATAAAAATTAAAACCACAACGAAATGTCACCTTATACTAGTCAGAATGGCTAGTTTTTAAAAGTCACAACACATCAGGTATTGATGAGAATGCAGAGAGAAGTGAGTGAATCCTTATATAGTATAGGTGACATTTTTATTTATAGAATATCAAAATAGTTACTTAAAATTCATTTGAATTATAAAATATTAAAATGTAGATTTATGAATACTTTGTACTTTCTAAAAGTTTAACCACAATAAAAATCCAAACTACCACTGTTGTGTCCATAATAATTCATAATTGTATGTGATGATGTTGAGAAATCTTCCTAAATATTAGGATGAGTCCCTCATTTATTTTAATGAAAATATCATTCTTAAAAGCATGTCAAGGAATATAGCTCAATAATTCAACAAATAACATTTGCAAATTGATAATCCATGGTTCAAAGATGTCAAGATGAACTCAAAGTCTACAGGGATACCCTTTTGATTCAAGGAAATAATGTTACCCTAAATGAGAGAAGATAGGGAAGACCATGTCAAATGAATCACTTTTTGATGTGGTTTGGCTGTGTCCCCACCCAGATCTCATTTTGAATTTTAGTTCTCATAATCCCCATGTGTCATGGGAGGCACCTGGTGGGAGGTAATTGAATCATGAGGGCGGTTACCCTCCGTGCTGTTCTTGTGATAGTGAGTGAGTCTCACAAGATCTGATGGTTTTATAAGGGGATTCCACATTTGCTCGGCTCTCATTCTTCTCCTTCCTGCTGCCATGTGAAGAAGGACTTGATTGCTTCCCCTTCCACCATGATTGTAAGTTTCCTGAATGTTCCCCAGCCGTACGGAACTGTTAGTCCATTAAAGTTCTTTTCCTTATAAATTACCCAGTCTCGGGTATTTCTTCATAGCAGCATGAGAACAGACTAATACACACTTCAATATTGATTTACATTTCTATGATCATCAGTGATCTTGAGTATTTTTTAATGTTTGTTGGCAACCTGCATGTCTTCTTTTGATAAATGTTTGTTTATGTCATTTGCCTACTTTGTAATGACATAATGTGTTTATTATTTATTGGGTTCCATGTAGATTCTGGATATTAGTACTTCGTTAGATGCATAATTTGTGAATATTTTCTCCTGTTCTGTAGGTTGCCTGTTTACTCTGTTGATTATTTCCTTTGCTGTGCAGAAGATTTTTAGTTTACTTAGGTCCCATTTGCCTATTATTATTTTTGTTTCATTTGCTTCTGATGACTTAGTCATAAATTCTTTGTCAAGGCTGATATTCAGTAAAGTTTTCCTAGGTTTTCTTCTAGGAATTGTATAGGTTTTTACATTTGAGTATTTAATCAATCTTGAGTTAATTTTTATATATGGTGAGATATAGGAATCCAGTTTTACTCTTGTGTATACGGATATCCATTTTTTCTAGTACAATTTATTGAAAAAGGTATCCTTTCCACATTGTTTATTTGTGCACGCTTTGTTGAAGATTAGTTGGTTGTAGGTATGTGGCTTTATTTCTTGGTTCTCTATTTAATTTTATTAAACTATGTATCTGTTTTTGTATTGGTACCATGCTGTTCTTGTTACTATAGGTTTGTAGTATAATTTGAAATGGGGTGAAGTGCTGACTCCAGCTTTGTTCTTTTTGCTTAGAATTGCTTTGGCTATCTGGGTCATTTTTTCAATTCAGAATTTCATATACACTTTGGGATTGTTGTTTTCTAATTCTGTGAAAAATGACATTGGTAGTTTGATAGAAATTGCACTGAATCTTTAGATTGCTTTGGACACCATGGTCATTTTTAATTTTTTTTAATCCATGAACATGGGATATTTTTCCATTAGTTTGTTTTATTTCAGGTTTCTTCCACCCATCTTTTGTAGTTCTTATTGTAGAAATATTTTACCTCCTTGGTTAAACGTATTTCTCAGTTATGTGTGTGTGTGTGTGTGTGTGTGTGTGTGTGTGTCTATTGTAAATGAGATTGAGTTCTTGATTTTGTTCTCAGCTTGAATATTATTGCTATATAGAAATACTACTGACTATTGGACATTGACTTTGTATTCTGAAACTTTATTGCAGTCTTTTGCCAAGTCTAGGAGTCTTTCAGAGTCTTTAGGGTTTTCTTTGTATAAGACCATGCCATCTCTTAATGTAACTTCTATCCCAACTTTTGTGGTAATTTTTTTCTTGCATTTTTCATAATTTTATTTTCTAATTTGTTTATCCAGAAATACCATTTAGTTCTGTTTGGTATTAGACTTGAAAACAGTGCAAATTTTCTTTCTTAATAAATAATGAAAATAAATTTCGTTTTTGAAATTCATCCATGTTTTTGCTTAGTTCATTCATTTTTACTGATGTATTGAGTAGTCTTAAGTTACCAATTTCATTTTTAATAGTTATGCTTTTTCCAAAAATTTTATAATAATTAGTAGTTTTATCATGACTATTCCTATATACATATTCATATAAATGCATAACCAAGAGTGCAATTGCTCATTTGGAGGGCATGCCATCTTTAGCACTATGACTATTAAATAAATTGTTTGCATTGATTAAGAGAGTGATATTCCACATCATCACCAGGACTGTGGATTGTCAGACATTTTAAGTAACTGTGGCTCCCCATACAGGATAACTTGGTTAAACTTGCTATTCACTTGGCATCCCTAGCATTATATTATTGTCATCATAAGAATGGAACCCAAAGTTCTGGAGTTTTTAATCAATTATTAAACAACAATTAATCGAATAGCGTGTAAGTTCCTAACCTTGTGCTAGCCGTTGTCCTACGTTTGTGATAAGAATAGATAAAGTGCCCTTCTACCTAGCAGTTTAGACAATAAACAAAGAGAAAAGAAATTAAATGTGTATTGTATGATAGCAGGTTAGTGATAATCACTAATAATCCAATGAGTTTATATGATACCAAAATATTGATTAGATCAGGAAATCACTGCTAAAGAGGAAACATTATTTATCAGTATGTTTATAACAGATGGAGCAATGAGTATAAAAGTCATGTGTTAGGGTATGCAAGATGATGATATAGAGCAGAGTAATCAAGGCAAAGGATAATGGTAGGTGGAGAAGCCAGCTTATAGTTCTGAGCAAGATTATATCTTTAGCTTTTATTAGGCATGTAAATGAAATACTTTTGAGATTTTCAGCTGGAAAAATGAAACTAATGTGAAATGCATTATATTGCCAGAGATGACTTCCATTGCCTGGTGGGGAAGAGACTGGAGGAAGGATGGATAATGGCAGCACACAGATGCTGCTGAGAAGCTATTTTAGTAGTTCATGTAAGAGACAATTGTCAAATTTGCAATAAACTTCCAGGTGAAATGGAATTGACTTTCTAATGGCTTGGAATGGTGTATATAAAACAGCTGGTAATGACTCCATGTTTTGAAGCTTTAGAAAATAGATTAATAATGGCTCAAATTACTGAGTGAAAAATTACTGGGAAAGAAGCAGGATTGGCAGGATGCAGATAAAGAATTCTCTTTTACTTACTAAGGTTGAGATGCCTATTTGATATTCAAGGCAGTCGCAAATGAGATGAGTGTTCAGGAATGAGATATCAGCTAAAGATATAAATTTTAGTCTTGTGCCCATATCTTAGCTGCAAGGAAGGATTTTATGAACTGCTGGTGAGACTGTAAATCAGTGCAATCAACGTAGACAAAGAAATAAATGCATACACCATGTCATCTTGTAATAACTCCCAACCCCCAACACCTAAAGAAGAGACTGTGTGTTTAAGTTGGGAGTGTATTGTGGAGTAAGAATAAGAAACAGGATGGGTGCTATAGGGAGAGAGAGTAAAATCTAGAACACATTATTAAGTTAGGTGATGGAATACTATATGACCATTCACTGAAGTGAAACAACGGGGGAAATATGTATCCATCAGCTCTAGGAGTTCCATTTTTCAAGCATAGCCTCATGGATGCTAACTTCTCGATGTGTCTAGACAGTGCATTTATGAGTAACAAGCAAAATGCCTACAACAATCCACACAACATTGTCTGAGAAATCCCACAGCAGAAAGTGAATTCTTGCTCTGGTCTGAAGCCACATACTATCACTTCCATCTTTATGAAACTGACCAAAGTCTACATAAAAATAGTAACCAAGGCTCTGACTGGAACAAGAGGTAATGCTGAGAGGGTCTGCAGTGATGTAAGATCCAATACACCCTATGATTTTTAAATTTTGTTCCTGGGTTTATAGCCTAGAGAAACTCTGACATATATATGTGTATATATATATACATTCATATATATACACATTTAATATATATATACACACATACACATTCATAGCAGCTTTTTGTTGAAATAGCAAAAAATGAGAAAAAAACTAAATGGCAATATAATGAACAAAAGGGAGCTGTGTTTTGATATTTTTATATAGTACAATGCTAAACAGCATTTAAAATAATTGATAAGAATTATATGGGCCAACATAGATGGACATCATCAATGTCATATAAAACAAAATAAAGCAGAAGGTAGATAGACACTTTTTTTTTGAGTCGGAGTTTTTGCTCTGTTGTCCAGGCTGGAGTGCAGTGGCGTGGTCTTGGCTCACCGCAACCTCCGCCTCCCGGGTTCAAGCAATTCTCCTGCCTCAGCCTCCTGAGTAGCTCGGATTACAGGCACCCTCCACCACGCCTGGCTAACTTTTGTATTTTTAGTAGAGACAGGGTTTCACCATGTCGGCCAGGCTGGTCTTGAACGCCTGACCTCAGGTGATCCACCCACTTAGGCCTCCCAAAGTGCTGGGATTACAGGCATGAACCACCACGCCCTGATGATAGACACGTTTTTAACTTCTAAAAATATATGATCATGATTGTGTCTGTGGAGACTTGCACATATACTAAATTTTAAACAATTAGAGATATTTGTTCATTACCACATTTTGGGAGTCATTATTTCCTCTATGAAGAGAGAAAGGAATTTGATACAAGTTCACAGGGGCTTCCAGTAGATTGAGACTTTTATTTCTAGCTGAGCTGCTGATGTATGAATTTTTTTTGTTATTATGACTTTCATATGTATTAAAAATAAAATGAAAAAACAAGGATTAGGTGAGGAACCTATACGTCTCTAATATGCAAAATACCACAGAAATAATGACTGTTGGGAAATTAGGCCTTAGCTCTGATGTTTGAACCATCCCCTCAATGTTTCCCAGTGCTTCTTAGAGTATTTTGATCACCTCTGTGTTGGTGCTTTAGAACTAGAGAAGAACGTTTTGTTAACTTTTTTTTTTTTTTTTTTTTTTTTTGAGACAGAGTTTCACTCTTATTGCCCAGGCTGGAGTGCAGTGGCACAATCTCGGCTCACTGCAACCTCTGCCTTCTGGATTCAAGCGATTCTCCTGCCTTGGCCTCCAGAGGAGCTGGGATTACCTGCCACCACATCTAGCTAACTTTTTGTATTTAGTTGGTCGGGCTGGTCTTGAACTCCTGACCTCAGGTGATCCACCCATGTCAGCCTCCCAAAGTGCTGGGATTACGTGCGTGAAACACTGCACCTGGCCTTTTGTTAACTTTTAGTTTAAGTTCAGGAGTACACGTGCAGGTTTGTTATACAGGTAAACTCGTGTCATGGGGATTTGTTGTACAGGTTATGTTGTCACCCGGGTATTAAGCTTAGTACCCATTAGTTACTTTTCCTGAACCTCTCCCTTTTCCCACCCGCTACTCTCAGGTAGGTCCGAGTGTGTGGTGTTCTCCTCTATGAGTCCATGTGTTCTTATCACTTGGCTCACATTTATAAATAAGAACATGCTGCATTTGTTTTTCTGTTCCTGCGTTAGTGGGAGCTGAGGATGGGTGGAGCTGAGGATAATGGTCTCCAGCTCCACCCATGTTCCTGCAAAGGACATGATCTTGTTCTTTTGTATGGATGAATACTATAAAGTCTTCCAAACTGTTTTGGTTTTGGTTTGTTTTCTTTCTTGAGAAAGGAAAGACAAAACAGAAATAAAAGAGTAGGCCGAGCGGGGTGGCTCACGCCTGTAATCCCAGCACTTTAGGAGGCTGAGGCAGATGGATCACTAGGGGTCAGGAGTTTGAGACCAGCCTGAACAACATGGTGAAATCCCGTCTCCACTGAAAATACAAAAAATCAGTCAGGCATGGTGGCACATGCCTGTAATTCCAGCTACTAGGGAGGCTGAGGCAGGAGAATCGCTTGAATCTGGGAGGCAATGGGTTGCAGGGTGTGCTGGGATGGCACCACAGCCTGGGTGAAAGAGTGAGACTCTGTCTCAAAAAAAAAATAATAAAATAAAAAAGGGAGAGAGAAAGAGTACCAATGTATGGCAGAAATCAAGAGAAGAGTTTGCTTTTTTGAATAACTACACCCTGGACATTAGTTTCAAGAAACCGTCTGCTGGAAATATAACTATATGTTTAAGTTGATGGATCATTATTACACGTAGCAGAAAGAAAGTCACTCCTTGCTAGAAAGCCCTGTGTAGGTCATTAGGCATCACAGTGTGGAGTTATCTAAGCAAGCACCAAGGTAGGATATCTGAATAACTGATTTATTTCCATGTTTACTGACAATATTCATTGCAACAAGTCAGTAGAGAAACAGTAAAGAGGGCAGGCATGGCTATGCTTCTATAGAATCTAGTGAAGAGGAGATAATTTCAAATAACCCAAGAAGGTAAATGAGTAGTCAAATTTTCAAAAGGACTATTAACTCACAAACAGGAAACTATAATAGAAAATAGTTGGTTGAAGGCAGAATGCCCAGTTCAGAAAAGATTCCTCTGAAAAGCAATATATAAGCATAGACTTCGAGGATGAAGAGTCACTCATTTTGAAAGAGCAGATGAAGAAAGTTTCAGGACAAAGAAACAGCCATCTGCAAAGACCTCAACAAAGATATCACACAGAAAATGCTGTATTTAATCTGTTGCTAGACAAAAGTGAGCTACGGATCACATGGTCTTGGATGAGGGAGACAGCTGATATAGTTTGGATGTCCCGCCCAAATCTCATGTTGAAACCAGATCCCCAGTGCTGAAGGTGGAGCTTGGTGGGAAGTGTTTGGATCATGAGGTCGAATCCTTCGTGACTTGGTGCTGTCTCCATGGTAGTGCACCTACCCCAACATACTCTCTCTCTCTTGTTCCTGCTTTCACCATGTGAAGTGCCTGCTCCTGCTTTGCCTTCTGTCATGAGTAAAAGCTCCCTGAGGCCTCTCCAGAAGAAGATGCCACTGTGCTTCCTGTACAGCCTGCAGGACTGTGAGTCAATTAAACATTTTTATAATATCCAGTCTCAGATATTTCTTCATAGCAATACAAGAACAGCCTAATATAACAGATAAGCAGGGACTAAAGTCATCAAAATTAGAATTGTGCATTTAATTTTGATTGCATTTAATTTTGATTGCATTTAATTTTGATTGCATTGAAAAGGCAGATGCTTTGAGGCTAGAATGAGGTAATAACTGTTTTGTTTTGTTTTGTTTTGTTTTGTTTGCTCTTAACAAATTAGTGTGACTTCAGTCCATAGTAAATTGGAGAGGAACTGGTAGAACATAAAAGAACTGGTAAAAAGCCATTGTAAACACTCAAGTTTCAAAAACAATTTTGTGGTAAGGGCAAATCCTCAGGTCAAGAAAAGTGTGTTACTAAATTCTGTTAGTTTCCAGAAGAAAGATAAAGTCATATGACACAGATTTTACTCCTTACGTTAGAGAGTGTGCTAAGGATACCACCCACATTTTCCAACATTTATTTCCATCATGTTTTATGATCTTCATCTATATTCCATCCTCGTTATTTCTAGCAAGTCTATGAAATTTCTTACATTAATAGAAATAATGTATTAATATTCAGCAATGTGCTAAACATTGTTGAAACATTGTCTCAATATTACTCTTGGAAGAGCTCTAAGGTAGACAATATTTCCAATATATGAGTCATGAGGAAACTGAGGAATGGAAAGATTAAACAACTTGTTGAGGGTAGCATAATTGTAAATGGTGAAGACATAATACAAATCCTAATATCTATGACTCTAATGCTTTAAAAAATCATTATATACACTACGCTGTCTCTGATGTGTGAATCTACCCACTTCTAATTCATTATAACAAGTATTTGTTGCCAGGTAGCATTCCGGGCTTTGGGGATACATCTTTGGAAAAGCTTACAGAAATCTCTGTCCTCAGGGAACTAATATTCTAGGGACTATACAATAAACAATAAGCAAAAATGTAACATGTATAGTGTGTTAGACTGTAGTAAGTACAATGGCAAAAAATTAAGAATGGAGAATGTCTAAGGGGACAGATTGTTTGGAATTTGAATAAAGTGGCTATGGAAAACTTCACTGGGATAATGGCATCTGACCAAAAGCATGAGGAAGATATAGAACAAACCGTATCTGTTGCATGTTTAGTAATAACCAAGAAAATACTGTACGTGAAGCTGAGTGAGAAAATTACATAGTGGAAGGAGGGAAGTCCATAGAAGAATTGGGGGCTTCATGTGGTGGAGCATCTATAAAGCATTGTGCAAGATTCTGACTTTTACAATGAATGAAACGAGAGATCAGAGTTTTACACAGAAAAAGGTAATAACCTGATACATGTTTTAAAGTGATTATACAAATTGCTCTTTTGAGGATGTACTGAAGGGTGCCTTACGCAGAATCAGAAACACCTGTTTGCTGGCCATTTCAATAACCTGGGCAATAAATGATGGTGGTTAGCACCAGGATGCTAGTGGTGAAAGTAGCAAAAATGATCAGAATTGAGCTGCATTTTGAACATACAGTTAATAAGTTCTGTGGCATGACAGAAAAATGATTCCATAATATTTCTATTGAGCAACCTTGTTGATGTGATATTCAAACTAAGTCCTAATATTAAACAATGTAGGAATTTCAATGAAAATATGACCAAAGGGAGAAAATGGCTCCCAACCTACTGTAATTAAAGTTCCCTTCTGTTGTTTTAAAATGCTACTATTGATAGAGAAAACAAGATATGGATTTGGAAGAAAATTACCCACAGTCTAATTGTCAGATTTATTGACTTAAAAATGTTACATGGCAATAAAGTTGAAAGAAAAATAAGAAGAAATTCTAAAAGCCAGCATGTTAGATTTATTCCCTCCACAAAAAGAATTGCTAATATTTATAAAGTGAGATAATAGGCCAAATACTTGTACTTGGCATAATTGCATTTTCTCAACAAATCCTATATAATCAACATTGTTTTATTTGTATATGTGTGAAAAATCATGACACCTGCAGTTTAAGTTACATTTGTATGAAACAGTCAATATGTGGCAGAGCCAGAATAAAGCCCACGTTTAGATTAAAGGAATTCTCTTTCCATTGCACCCACCCGTATTGCCTGTGGAAACCCTAAACAAGCCATTTAAATTTGTTGGAATTCCGTTTTTCAACTTTTTAAAACCTCTTAAGAGTCCAGTCCTAAATCAAGTTAATGTTTAAATTCTTCACTTATGCTTAGTATGTACATTATTCCAAAATGTGAATTGGTCCCAAATATCATATTCATTCTAACAGAGGACATTAAAAGTTTAAAAGATATCTGTTATATGGCTGAACTGATTATATTTTATCGGAAAGTGAAAGGAACTACTCAGCATATTTCTAATGAGTATACAGAGGAAAAGTACTTTGCCTCATTTAATTTTGTAAAATCTCTCTCTGGCACATAATTCACAGTCTTTTTTTGCCCACAGGAATAGTGAGGCAGATATGTATTAATTCATGTCATAATACAAGAATAGGTAGCGATAAAACACTGGCATTTTCCAAATTGCCAGTATAAAGAATTGCCAGAAGAACATGGGTATTAGCTTCAGATTCGCCAAGGGGTTAACATTTATGTTATCTGTTAAATATGAATTATGTATTAACTTCTCATATTTCATATATAAAACTTTATGCTTTGGTCCTGTTCCTCGGGATGACCTTGATGTAATCAGAAATAATAGTGTTCTTTACCAAAGACATTAATCAATAACTTTATAATACGAAGCACTATGAATATTTAATGGCTTCAGCTTGAATAATTCAAATCCCGTATTACTAAAAAATAAAGTCAGTTGAGTGACTGAGAGTTCCATATTCCACAATTCCTACTCTGCTTACTACCTATTCTATTTACTATTCTCTTTACTATTTGAGAAGGGTATGGAGTTGTGTATGTTGCAAACATCACGTAACTTTTGTTCGACTTTCTTGAACACGTCATATTATTTTTTTTAGTTCATTTTCTGAATATAAGTAATTTTTGGTGAATTAATACTTTAAACAAGAGTTCACCTGGAAAGCAGTAGGCAAAATTTCATTAAAAATATTATTTTATTAACATACCTTAAAAATGTAATAGGACAATGCCTCAAAGAACAATTTCAAAATAAAAACACAGAAAACAAATGACCAGCAAAATTGCTCTGAAGTCTTAAAAACAGAAATAAATACTTCAATAATCATAGGTAATATGGAAATCCAATGTATGACTTACCTATAGAAAACCCTTCTGGAATTTCATTTAAATCTAACGTCAATATGAGCTATGTAGGAAGTCCATTAATAAATAAGAATATTATATAGGTACACATGTATATATTAATTTTAAGCCATATGCAGCCCTATTTGAAAATGTTAAAAAAAATCATCAGGATTAGTCCATACTGATTATTAAAAAATAAAATTGTCATTGCTCATTGTAGAAGATAAATGTCAGCTGTGCAGCAGATGTGTTTATAGCCACCCAGTAATCCTATCGCCTCAATAATGCATTTCCCTTTTTTTAGTTAAAAACTTAATTACATTAAGAAACTGTATGTGTTTAGGAATATGAATATAGAAGGAGTAATCGTTTAGTAAAATAAGTTTTACTTGCATATTAAAATTTACTGTGTTTGTGAAGATGCTGATAGTACATTACATATGGAGATCCAAGTGCACATAGTCACTAATTCTTTAAACTATGTTTGATATTAGTAATAATTTACTTTACATATATATCGGAATTTAATTGAAAAATAGTAAATGACTGCTAATATACATTATTCTTCTGAGTTGCATTTTTGCTTAATGAAATAGAATTTTTAAAAAAATTGTTTATCTTTATTCCTACTAGATTATACATTTCATGAGAAAAGCATTATCTCTTTATTAGTATATTTGTTTACCTATATTAGAACTTGACTTTGAAATAAACCAGATATAATACCATTGTTGTAGATGTATTTATTGTAGTAAAAATAATATTCTGCATCTGAGTTTTGAGCAAGGAGATTTTACAGTCTCCTTTCAGTTAGAAAACTACAAGACCCTCTTAACTGATGTTGGAAATGTAAGTAAAGAAGATAAAAATTAAAATGATAAAGAAAAGCATTTGGGGTATAGTAGCACTGTGCTTCCCAGGAGAATGAGTTGTTAAGTGCTCACTCCGCATTTTTCAGTAACATATACTTAAAGTAAGCACACAGGGGCTACAGACGCTATTTTTTGGTTCAACATGACCTGAGCAGTTAATTATTTGTAAAGGGAAGAAGCAAGAATAGGCTCAGGGAGGGAGACAGAGAAAGACTGGGTGGGGCGGGGAGGGAGGGAGAGTTTCACCTGTATCTAAAACAGATCAGAAGCAATTTCTTCCTCCAACTCCTCACTTGTCTATTTCTACTAATAAAGAGCAAAACCAGACAAAATAGATTATTGTGTCATTTTTGTTTTCTTATTTTGTAATACACAGAAAAACTCAAGCTGGAGACGGAAATGAACAGATGCACATGGCTGGAAAGACTCAGTGCTAATCTCTACAATGTTGTTTTAATAGAATGGAGACAGGACCACATACTTTCTTACAATAATGAGGATCAATAAAGACAAAACTGACACTTTGTAATGAATAATGATCTGAACACTCACCTGAGAAAGTATCTCTTTGTTGCAGGTTTTTGGAAATGGGCTATATTTTTTGAATCATAACCGATATGTACTGCCATAAACAAGAGGATTTCAAGCCAGCTCCATCTGGTCGAAAATTATTTTATTTATTACTAAGAGAAAAGTGTAAGACAAGTCCTGTGGTAAAAACAGATTTATTGCCTCTGCTATTCACCTGTGTTATTTCTTCATATATTACCATTGACATATATTATCCATTCTTCACAGCAATGGCTTTGCCGTGGCAAATTAAATATCTCATTGTCCTTCTCTGTCCATTTTACATTATAATGTTTCTGAGCAGACTTTTATAGCTCTCTCACAGAATTATAGCAAGTCTTTAAATAAAAACAAAATTGAAACAAAAATTTTAGACTCAACTTAAAATCCCTCTTTATTTTATAATTTGGATTTTTAAGTAAAATATGCTATATCCTATTTAACGAGAACTTTCATATGTAATGTATCAATGGAATTATCTAAAGCTCATTTGGTTTTGCATAAAAACACAATTAGAGTAAAAACATTCTAAAATAGACACTGGAATAAAAACAATGAAAGCAAAACTATTAATTTTACATTTTTCATTCAAGTATTTTGATTTTTACTATATTATATTATTATATTAGGTATCAGAGTAATCATTGATCGCTTTCAAAACCCTGCTCCTTTCTAGGTGCAATGAAGAATTTTTATTTTATTGAAAAGTTATCTTAAGATGTAAGACTTGTGAATGATAGTAAAGATTTAGTAGACCCAATGTATTCTCAGATAAATGTAAAATAAGCAAGATATGAATTAAAGGATAAATATAGAGTTTAACAGCATAGATCTTAAAATCCATTATCATAAGGTAGAAGGATGTATAATTTATCATGATTAAAATATACTAAATATTCATATCACAGCATTCTGATTTCTGATATCTACAATTTAGGTGACATATATACATATGTGTGTATATATATATAACTGTATTATTTGATATTTTAAAAGATAAAAGAGTTATATATTCAAATACCAGTATAGATGTTGCTCTGAAAGTATTGTTAGATGAGATTAACATGAAAATCAGTAATTTCTGAGAAAAGCAGATTATTTTCCAAAATATTGTAGGGCTCATCCAGTCAATTGATTATATTAAAAGACTGAGATCCCTCAAGGAAATAATTCTGCCTGCAGATTGCCTTTCGACTTGAGACTGTAACATCAACTTTTCTCTAGGTCTCTTGCTTGCTAGCCTACCCTGCCAATTTTTTATACATTAAAAAATATTTTTCTCAAATATTGTAGTTCTGCTATTTCCAGAAACGCTTGAGGATTGTACTTCCAAGTTCTTTTAAAGTTGATCATCGTCATGAAACTCATCATCAAATGGCATTTGAGCAAAATCTTTATTAATTAAACATGAGTGGAAGTTTAAAGGCCAAAGCACAACTCACTCAGGCATTGTGAACTATGTGTGCAGACAGATCACAACTCATCCTTGGTCTCTGGGTGTGTCTGCGTCTATTACTGACTTACCCTGGATATGTAAAATGAGTAAGAAAAACTTTTTGTGTTAGCCACTGGGATTTTTGGTTTGTGTATTACTTTAGCATATTATCTCATTTTGAATGCTATAGTTTAGGACACTAGTTTAAACTACTGAAGTTAAAATGTTCTCCTTATTTCAGAGGAGAGAAGGATCTTACAGTGACAGACATCCATTAGTAAGAATTAATTTCTAGAGATAAAGTGAATTCAGTAACCACAGTGTCAGTAGAGTCAGCATGGTCAAAATAGTCTACATGGGAAATGTTTGGTGGCTCTTAGTTGATCATGGAGTCTCTAGAACCAAAAGTTATGAATGCCAATTAAGTTTCGATTTGGCTTATATGATCTCAAATCTTCAGGTTTACAAAACATATCTTGAGCCACCACCCAGCTCTGTCACCCAGGCTGGAGTGCAGTGGCACCATCTCAGCTCATTGCAGCCTCCGCCTCCGAGGTTTAAGCGATTCTCATGCCTCAGCCTCCTGAGTAACTGGGACTACAGGTGCTCACCACCATACAGGGATGTTTTTTCTATTTTTTTGGAGAGACACGGTTTCACCATGTTGGCCAGGCTGCTCTCGAACTCCTTACCTCATGATCCGCCCACCTCGGCCTCCCAAAGTGCTGGGATTACAGGCGTAAGCCACGGCGCCCAGCCCATTTTTTCTTTTCACCCACCTCGGCCTCCCAAAGTGCTGGGATTACAGGCGTGAGCCACTGCACTGAGCCTACAGCTCATTTCTTAACACATAAAGCTTTGCACCTCTCCACAAAACTGCCATCAGGGATGTCCCCAGAAACCATTCATCCCAGGTGCCACGCAGAGAAGAGTTGCTTGTTCTCCTTTTCCCTTTACCTCTTCCCTCTCACCTCATCATGTTCATTCATTCATCCCTTTTCCATTCTCACTTTTAAGCTTTAACCTTTCAAAAGCCTATCTTCCCCTATAAGTAATGTATTGTAACTCCCGCCATCACCATATCCTTCTCCAACCAACCAAACTGCCATCCTGAGTTTATGGAAAGTCCATAAACTAAGAAGAAATGGGAAACATTCATTGCTAACTTGGCAGCCCCTCATCCACCCTACGTGAGAGCACAGATCTTATTGTCTTTGAAGACCCTTTCTTTTTTTTTTTTTTTTTTGAGAAGCAGTCTCACTGTCGCCCAGGCTGGAGTGCAGTGGCACAATCTCGGCTCACTGCAAGCTCCAACTCCTGGGTTCATGCCATTCTCCTGCCTCAGCCTCCCGAGCAGCTGGGACTACAGGCACCCGCCACCACGCCCGGCTGATTTTTTTTGTATTTTCAGTAGAGACAGGGTTTCACTGTTAGCCAGGATGGTCTCGATCTCCTGACCTCGTGATCTGCCTGCCTCGGCCTCCCAAAGTGCTGGGATTACAGGCATGAGCCACCGTGCCCAGCTCCTTTTTTTTTTTAAAGACAGGTCTCACTCTGCTGCCCAGGCTCAAGTGCAGTGGTGTAATCATGGCTTACTGCAGCCTCCAACTCCTGTGCTCAGGCTATCCGCCTGCCTCAGCCTCCCAAGCAGCTAGGACTACAGGCACACACCACCACACCTAGCTAATCTGTTTAGTTTTTGTAGAGATGGGGGTCCTGCTATGCTGAACAGGCTGGTCTCGAACTCCTGGCCTCAAGCAATCCTCCCACCTTGGCCTCCCAAAGTGCTGGGATGACAGGCATGAGCCACCATGCCTGGTCTGAAGACTTTTAAATGCTGCCATATTCAAGACGCGTTGAAACTCACCTGTATTCGATGAGCCTGCTTTTCGCAAATGAGTAACATAAAACAGACTGAAATACCTTAAGCTTCTCAGCCTTTTACCCTCCTCTGGAATAATGAGTGTATCCCAAAAGTAAATCCATAATGAGGTCCAGTTTTTCCTTCATCCTTGGCTATGAAATAGACAAGAAAAAGGCAAGCTAGCCATTTCCATCTCACTATAGCAGACTCTCATGTTTGCTTTTTGACCGTACGTGGGAAGCGGGGGCCTGACTGCTTTCCTACTTCCTAAGCACAACTTACTTTTCCTAGGAAATTCTCAACACAACCTACATGGATTAAACCAGGTTCCCCCCTTTGTTTCCAATATTCTTACAGCCAAAATGTCCAGAATGGGCAAGGCAACCTGAAAAAATGAGGACGGGTACATTATCCCATGCGCTAAACTGCCACTTACACTGGTTAGTCATGAAATCGGCAAAATTCCAGATGAGCTCTCCAACCACGTATTTTCTGCGTTTTTGATCCAGACCCAGATGGTACTGCTCTAGCAGACTTTTCCGGTCCTCTTCACTGAACATCAGAGGTGGATCCTGGGATTCAAGGCAAAGAGAATTAAGAGTAAGAACTGGCAGAATTGTAAATGTTAGATAAAAATAAAGATCCACTTGATGGTGACCAAAATATCTGTCCTCACTGGGGGCTGTAGGGACTGCAGGACTCACTGATGCTAGGGTAAAGACAGCCAGGGAGAAATTGGAAATCATCATTCTCAGTAAACTATCGCAAGAACAAAAAAACAAACACCGCATATTCTCACTCATAGGTGGGAATTGAACGATGAGATCACATAGACACAGGAAGGGGAACATCACACTCTGGGGACTGTTGTGGGGTGGGGGAGGGGGGAGGGATAGCATTGGGAGATATACCTAATGCTAGATGACGAGTTAGTGGGTGCAGCACACCAGCATGGCACATGTATACGTATGTAACTAACCTGCACAATGTGCACATGTACGCTAAAACTTAAAGTATAATAATAATAATAAAAAAATACAAAAAAAGAAACGACAGCCAGGGAATGATGTAACCCAGAATTAAAAAGGAGGTTTAAAAAAAAACCATCAATTAGCAACTGCTTTATTTATAAATATAAACTGATACTCAATTTTTCTTACTTTTCCGTCTCTGTCTGCTGATACAGTCTTAAGGCTGAACTACACTAGAAGGAAAAATATGTCTTTAGGTCAGGCGCGCTGGCTCATGTCTGTCATCCAAGCACTTTGGGAGACCGAGGTGGGAGGACTGCTTGAGCCTAGGAGTTCAAGACTAGCCTACAAAAAGTACAAAAGTTAGCCAAGCATGGAGGCACACACCTGTGGTCCCAGCTACTTGGGAGGCTGAGGTGGGAGGACTGCTTCAGTCCCGGAGGTCAAAGCTGTGGTTTGCACCACTACACTCCAGCCTGGGTGACAGAACAAGACCCTATCTCATGAATGAATGAATGAATGTAAAATGAAATTAAACTAAACCAGGCTGGGCATGGTAGCTCAGGTCTGTAATCCCAGCACTTTGGGAGGTCGAGGCAGGAGGATCACTTGAGCTCAGGAGTTCAAGATCAGCCTAGGCAACACAGTAAAACCCAGTCTCTATAAAAAGGCTAAATATTCGCTAGGTGTAGTGGCGCATGACTGTGGCTCCAGCTACTTGGGGGGCCGAGGAGGAAGGATCACTTGAGCCCAGGAGGTTGAGCAGTGAGCTGTGATTACGCCACTGCACTCCAGCCTGGGCAACAGAGTAAGGCTGTCTCAAAAAAAAATTTTTTTTAATTAAACCAAATAAATTCAGTTATCCTAGTCATATATCAAGACCTCAATAGCCACATGTAGCTAGTGGCTACCATTTCAGACAGTGCAGACATGGGGCATTTCCATCATTGCAAAGGTTCTTTTTTGAAACAAGGTCTCACTCTGTCACCCAGGTGGGAGTACAGTGGTGCAATTATGGCGGACTGCAGCCTTGACCTACTGGGCTCAAACAGTCCTCCTACCTCAGCCTCCCAAGTAGCTGGGACTAGAGGCAAGCACGACCATACCCAACTATTTTTTTTTTTTTTTTTTGAGACGGAGTCTTGCTCTGTCGCCCAGGCTGGAGTGCAGTGGCACAATCTCGGCTCACTGCAACCTCCACCTCCCCAGTTCAAGCGATTCTCCTGCTTTAGCCTCCTGAGTAGCTGGGATTACAGGTGCATGCCACCACACCCAGCTAATTTCTGTGTTTTCTTAGTAGAGACGGGGTTTCACCATCTTGGTCAGGCTGGACTTGAACTCTTGGCCTCGTGATCCACCCACCTCAGCCTCCCAAAGTGCTGGGATTACAGGCGTCAGCCACTGCACCCAGCCACAACTCATCTTAAATATTTTGTAGAGATGGGGTCCATGTTGTGCAGACTGGTCTCAAACTCCTGGGCTCAAGAGATCCTCTGACCTCGGTCTCCCAAAGGGCTAGCATTCCAGGTGTGAGCCAGCACACCCAGCACTGCAGAGGTTCTATCAATGCTCACCTAGACCCTCTCGAGTTTCTTAAGAATTCAGAACTGGGGCTGGGTATGGTGGCTCATGCCTGTAATTCCAGCACTTTGGGAGGCCAAGGCAGGTGGATCGCTTGAGGTCAAAAGTTCAAGACCAGCCTAACCAACATGGTGAAACCTCATCTCTACTAAAAAAAAAAAAAAAAAAAAAAAAATTAGGTGAGCATGGTGGTGCATGCCTGTAATCCAAGCTACTTGGGAGGCTGGTGCAGGAGAATTGCTTGAACCTGGGAGGCGGAGGTAGCAGTGAGTCAAGATTGCACCACTACACTCCAGCCTGGGCGACAAGTGAAACTCCTCCTAAAAGGAGAAAGAATTCAGAGCTGGTTACCTTTTCAAAGAGAATGAACAAGGGTGCATATCCACATCACTTCCCCCTACTTGACTAGTTTGCAGAAGTGTCATTCTGTAAGCACGATAAATTTAAGGGTGCAAACAGAACAGTGCAGTCCATTGTGGGTGGCTGTTCCCTGTGTGTCAACGGGAGTCCCAGGAGCTGTGCAAAAGAGTGTGAGCTGGCTGGGGAGGGGACAAGGGGCTGGATGGGGTTCAGGAATCCACATGAAAAAAACCCCACAAGACAAAGCAACATATCTTTGGTGAGAAGGACAAAAAATGAGATGGATAAACAAATGAGGACAGGCCAGGCATGGTGGCTCAGGCCTGTAATCCCAGGATTTTGGGACGCGGAAGCAGGCAAATCACTTGACGTCAGGAGCTCAAGACCAGCCTGGCCAACATGGCAAAACCCCACCTCTACAAAAATACAAAAATTAGCTGGGCATGGTGGCAGGTGCCTGTAATCCCAGCTGCTTGGGAGGTTGAGGCAGGACAATCGCTTGAGCCTAGGAAGTGGAGGTTGCAGTGAGCTGAGATCACACCATTGCACTTCAGCCTGGGTGACAGAGTGAGACTCCATCTCAAAAAAAAAAAAAGACAAAGTGAGTGATTAAACATGGCTCTAAGATCTCACCCATGCCCTCAATAGGTATTATTTAGCATGTACTGTGTCAGCTATTGCAGAGTACCTGGGAAACAATAATAAATAGGACTCCTGTCTCCTGAGCCCACAGTCCGATCAAAGAGAGAGCCAAAGAAATAACAACGGTGCCTGGCGAGAATGTTGGGGGAGCCAGGTTCCGGCTGCAACAGGGCAGAGCACGGGGAAGGTTCCCTCCGCCTGGGGCAGGCAGGGTAAACCTCCCCACAGAGGGGACAGCTATGAGGAGACTCAGATGCCAAATAGGAATCTTTTCAGCCACGTGTCGTGACTCATGCCTGTATTCCCAGTACTTTGGGAGTCCAAGACAGGAGGTGAAGACCAGCCTGATAGCGAGACTGCATCTCTACAAAATATTTTAAAACTAGGCTGCACATGGTGGTGCACGCCTGTAGTCCCAGCTACTCAGGAGGCTGAGGCAGGGGAATTGCTTCAGCCCAGGAGTTCGAGGCTGCAGTGAGCTATGATGACACCACCACACTCCAGCCTGGGCAACAGAACAAGACCCTGTCAGGAAAAAAATAAAAAATAAAAAAAGGCTAGCACAGTGGATCACACCTGTTAATCCCAGAACTTTGGGAGGCCAAGGCAAAAAGATCAATTGAGTCCAGGAGTTTGAGACCAGCCTGGGCAACCTAGCAAGACCCTATCTCTAAAAAAATAAAAAGAAAAGGATCTTTTAGTTGGTGATTATGGTGCCAACTTGGGCATTCCAGGCAGAAAGAATAGCTCAAGCAAGAGCAGGAGAGCAAATGAGGGCAGTGGAAACAGATCAGTGGCCAGGAGTGAGAAGAGAAGAGGATGAAAACCCAGGAGAGAGCAGAGGACACTGAGTGTCCTGACTAGGGGTTAGGACTTTGTCCTAGGCCTGGGGGAGCCAATGACAGGACTCAAAAATTTTGATTTGTGGCCGGGCACAGTGGCTCACACCTGTAAATCCCAGCGCTTTGTGAGCCTGAGGCAGGAGGGTCACTTGATCCCAGGAATTCAAGACCAGCCCGGGGAACACAACAAGGCCCCATCTCTACAAAAGTAAAAAAATTAGCCAGGCATGGTGGCCTGTGCCTATGGTCCCAGATACTCAGGAGGCTGAGGTGGGAAGATCGCTTGGGCCCAGGAGGTTAAGGCTGCAGTGAGCAGTGATCGCACCACCGCACTCCAGCTTGGGTGACACAGAGAGAGGCGGTCTCAAAAACACATAAAAATTTGGATTTCTTAGAAAGACCACTTGGGCACGGGTGATAGGAGGCTGTCTGGAAACAAGGCCAGTAAGGAGTCCACCTTTGAGGACCAAGCGAGTGGGGCAGAGGCCTGGCTGCTGGTGAGAAGGGAACGTGGACAGGGTAGCGGGAGGTGAGCCCAACTGAAGCAAGGGGAGCACTGCAGTGGGCGCAGGGCAGGGTGGGGGAGGCAAGTGGCATCTCTGCCCAGAGAGAATACACAAGCAGAAAGTTCAACACCGCTTACCTGGTGAAGCCCTACAAGCGTTTCCACTCCATACGCGCTCTGAATAATGGGATTGTGATGTCTTACACCAATTCTCAAACTGGGCGGCCAGCTGCAGCCGAATCAACTCCAGGTGCCCGTAGTTGCGATACCAAGAGTAGTAGCTGTTCACACGGATCACATCCACATACAGAGCCTAGGACCAGAGCAGCAGAGCCCGTTCAGCAACCACAAGACCGCATGACTCAGTACTCACATGCTGTGGGGGCTCCTCTGACAGAGAAGGTAAGAAGGGGATGTAATCCCAGCACTCTGGGAGGCTGAGGCAGGAGGGTGGCTTGTGGCCAGGAGTTCGAGACCAGCCTGGGCAACACAGCAAGACCCCAGCTCTACAAAAAATAGTATCAAGAAAATCCACGGCACAGTGGCTCATGCCTGTAATCCCAGCACATTGGGAGGCCAAGGTGGGAGGATCACTTGAGCCCAGGAGTTTGAGACCAGCCTGGGCAACGTCGTAGGACTCCATTTCTACAAAACAAAACAAAAAGCCTACAACGGGAAGAGCTGCCTCTCGGGGCTGAGAACATCCAACTGCACCAATTTAGATCCTGAAATTACCCTGCCCCACAAGCAAAAAACATGGTCACAAAGTGGCCCAAAGGAGGCAGGCCTGTGATTGCACACTGACGCTCACGACGTGTGCAGCTGGGAAGGGCTGTGAGAGGCAGAGCAGCTGCCAACACGCAGTCCTCAGCCAAAACCCAGGGCCCCCGCCACTGGAACTGACTCCTCTCCAGGCAGCACTCCCAGCACTGGGCATCCCCTCACCTTGCCCTGGAGAAGCCCTCCCACCCAAGGGGCCAATGCAGTCATTCTCGCAGATAATCTTTTTCCGCTTTGTTTGGAAGACAGACTCGCTCTGTTGCCCAGGCTAGAATGGAGTGGCACAATAATGCAACCTCTGCCTCCCACGATCAAGCGCAGGCGTGGTGGCATGTGCCTGTTATCCCAGCTACTTGGGAGGCTGAGGCAGGAGAATTGCTTGAACCTGGGAGGCGGAGGTTGCACTGAGCTGAGACTGTGCCACTGCACTCCAGCCTGGGCAACAGAGCAAGACTCTATCTTAAAAAAATAATAAAAAATAAAAAAGAATGCTAGTATCAGCCAGGCACGGTGGCTCATGCCTGTAATCCCAGCACTTTAGGAGGCTAAGGCAGGAGGATCACTTGAGCTCAAGAGTTTGAGACTGGCCTGGGCAACATAGTGAGATCCCATCTCTACAAAAACATTTAAAATTAGCCGGGCACAGTGGTGTACCCCCGGAGTCCCAGCTACTTGGAAGGCTGAGGCAAGAGGGTTGCTTAGGCCCAGGAATTCAAGGCTGCAGTGAGCTGTGATCACACCACTGCACACTCCAGCCAGAGCAACAGAGTAAGACCTTGCCTTCACACACACACACAAAAAAACAAAAAACTCAGGTTCCAACCCTGGAGTTACTAAATCAGGATCTCAGAACGCAGAGATCTGGCATTTCAATAAAACTTCCCCTGGAGATTCTGATCAGCCAGGTTTGGGCCAGATGAACTCTAAGCTCACTTAAACCTTTGACATTTTATGAGTCTATTAAATCGAGTACAAAAAATGCTGAGTCCAAACCGGGCAAACAAATCCCATCTCCCTATGCCCAGCCTCCTTGGATTCAGAAAGCCACACTGCCTGGAGAGTAAGCAGAGAGAGAATTGTCATTAACCCAAAGACCATCTTTGAAAACAGACTGGCCGCGGCTGAGTGCGGTGGCACACGCCTGTAACCCCAGCCCTTTGGAAGGCCGAGGCAGGAGGATCACTTGAGCCCAGGAGTTCGAGACCAGCCTGGGCAACATGGCAAGACCCTGTCTCTATCTTTCTAAGTAAACAAAATAAAAAGCTCAGACTGGCAGCACATGGTTCTTTCCAGCTGTTCCCATGAGCAGGCTTCAGGACAAGCCCAGGCAAAGGCAGGGAGAAATGGGGTGGGGACCCCCAGGCTCACCCCCTTGTCTGCTGCGTAGGTGGAGTTGGTCCCAAAGGTCACAGGCTGGGAGGGGTCCAAGGCTTTGGTGTGAGCAATCACCATCCTGTCCACAAAAGAGAGAAGACACAGGTTCCGTCAGTCCGGGAAAGGCTCAGACACCCTCCCATCCTCTCTGTCCCATCTTCCCCTGCCAGAACACAACTGGTGGCCAGGCACGATGGCTCACGCCTGTAATCCCAGCACTTCAGGAGGCTGAGGCAGGCAGATCACTGAGGTCAGGGGTTCAAGAACAGCCTGGCCAACATGGCAAAACCCCATTTCTACTAAATATACAAAAATTAGCCAGGCTTAGTGGCACGCATCTGTAACTCCAGCTACTCGGGAGGCTGAGGCACAAGTGCTTGAACCCGGGAGGTGGAGGTTGCAGTGAGCCGAAATCACGCTACTGCACTCCAGCCTGGGCCACAGAGCAAGACCCTGCCCCAAAACAAACAAACAAACAAACAAACAAACAAACAAAAAGAAAGAAAGAAAAGAAAAAAAAAAAAAAAAAACAAAGCACAGAGCCGCTGCTTTCTTCCCTAACTTGAGATGTATTTTACATAAGGGCACGTTCCTCTAGTCCTAGACCGAGCTCTCTAACAACACTCTTTCTCCCCCACCCCTGAATCCAACTCCCCCAGAGGCGTAGCCACCCTGCCGGGTACACAGAGCTGAGGTCACTGGACTGAACACTGCCAGAAATGAGGTTCACTTCCTGAAATAGCTCTTGAACACAGGAGTGAATGGGCTGTGGATTCAGGTGGAATATTTATTAATGCATCAAGCAAACAGGTAGTGCGAGGTGGGAGGTAGGCATGAGGCTGGGTGCTAGGTGCTCAGTAATGACTCAATAAGTCCACAGGTCCTGGGCAGTGGGAGTGGAGATGCATGCACAGAAAAACGGTGCAAGTGCCAGGCGAGGTGGCTCAAGCCTAGAACCCCAGCACTTTGGGAGGCTTACTTGAGACCAGGCGCTTGAGACCAGCCTGGACAACATAGCAAGACCTTGTTTCTACAACAAATTTAAAAATTAGGGCCGGGCATGGTGGCTCAAGCCTGTGAGCACTTTGGGAGGCCAAGGCAGGTGGATCACGAGCTCAAGAGTTCGAGACCAGCCTGGCCAACATGGTGAAACCCCATCTCAACAAAAAATAAAGAAGAAAACTAGCTGGGCATGGTGGCGTGAGCCTGTAATCCCAGCTACTCGGGAGGGTGAGGCAGGAGAACTGTTTGTACCCAGGAGGTAGAGGATGCAGTGAGCCAAGATCGCAACACTGCTCTCCAGCCTGGGAGACAGAGCAAGACTCTGACTCGTGGGGAAAAAAAATATTAAAATTTAGCCTGGCACAGCGCACGTCTGTGGTCCCAGCTATTTGGGAGGCTGAGTGGGGAGGATCGCTTAAGCCCAGGAGGTCGAGATGGCAACGAGCTATGATTGCACCACTGCACTCCAGCCTGGGCAACAGAGTGAGACCCTGACTCTGAAAAACAAACAATGAAAGAAATGTTGCGAATGGAAATGACAAGTGGTGGCAGGAATTGGGCACTCTATGAGACAACAGACACATCCCCGATTGGAGAGTCAGGGACAGGCTCTTAGAAGAAATGGCCTTTATGCTGAGTCAAGTTAACCAGGAGGGATGAAGGGAAGAGGCTCCCAACAGAGGGACCAGTCCGTGCTCAGAGCTCCCAGCATCTGCCCAAGGCCTCCACAGAACAGACTGTTGTGTTTTTGTTTTGTTTTGTTTTGTTGAGATACAGAGTCTCATTCTGTAGCCCAGGCTGGAATGCAGTGGCATTATCTCAGCTCATTGCAATCTCTGCCTCCTGGTTCACCTGAGGCCTCCTGCCTCAGCCTACCTGGTAGCTGGGATTACAGACGTCCACCACCATGCCCAGCTAATTTTTGTATTTTTAGTAGAGACAGGATTCACTACCTGTTGACCAGGCTGGTCTCGAACTCCTGACCTCGGGTGATCCACCCACCTCAGCCTCCCAAACTGCTGGGATTACAGGCGTGACCCACCGCATCCGGCCTAGACCGTTGTTGAAGCTGGTTTTCTTCTTCTTTCCTCAGTTCTTTTCTTTTACATCTTCCCCCCATCATTGCTCTGCCCATCCGAAGGCTGTGGCTGGCACAGGACAGAATAGAACCTCCTAGCCTCAAGTTCCAAACCCACACTCTCCAATAGCCAGGCTCTCAGATGGGAAGCTTCAAAGCCTTGTGACAGCCTGGCTGAACCTCTCCAGCCTGGGCCCTTCCTCCATTTCCTGCCCCGGAAACAGGCATCTCCTCTGGCCACCTCCCAAAGCCTGTCTGGAAGCCTCAGGCACCCGCTCGAAGCCTGTACGATTCACAACAAACGGCCTGTCCACCCAGTCGTGCTGAGCACACCCCTATTCCCCCGAGCTCTGAATTGTCCTTTGCCCAGGCTAGGACAACATCTCAGAGCCTTCTGCCTGCTGCAGACTCAAATCACTCCATGAAATTGGGGTGTGGCATCTGCCTCAAGGAGCATTTCTACAACCTCTGCTGCCTCTACCGCAAATGAAACTGGCTCTCACCCACTGGCTCTCGGTGACGGGCACAGTGCGGAGCCCCACAGGGAGTGTGTAGAAGTCAAAGGCCCCAGTGACTTCTGTGCAGTCAGCCGCACCTACGACAGCCAAAGCGCCAGGTGTGAGCGCCCCGACAGCCTGAGCCCCATCTGGCCTGCCCTACAGCAGGAAGACCCCTCGTGCATGCACCCCAGAAGTCGCCACTGGGCCTGCAGAGAAGCAGCAATCAGAGGCTCTGCCCTTCACTGGCTGACCCTGGGACCTGCCCTTCAAAATCACTTCTCCTTGACCAGACGAGGTGGCTCATGCCTGGAATCCCTACACCTTGGGAGGCTAAGGCAGGAGGATCACCTGAGTCCAGGAGTTCAAGACCAGCCTGGGCAACCTAGTAAGACCCCAACTCTATAAAAAGGAGTTTTTTTTTTTGAGACAGTCTCACTCTGTCACCCAGGATAGAGTGCTGCGGCATGATCTCAATTCACCGCGGCCCCTGCCTCCTGGGTTCAAGCAATTCCCCTGCCTCAGCCTCCCGAGTAGCTGGGATTACAGACGTGCACCATCATGCCCTGCAAATTTTCATATTTTAGTAGAGACGGGGTTTCACCATGTTGGCCAGGCTGGTCTCCAACTCCTGGCCTAAAGTGATCTGCCCGCGTCAGCCTCCCGAAGTGCTGGGATTACAGGTGTGAGCCACCATGCCCGGCCTACAAAAAAAATTTTTTTAATTAGCCAGGCATGGTGGCATGTGCCTGTAGTCCCAGCTACTCAGGAGGCCAGGTAGGAGGATTGCAGCTCAAAGCTGCAGTGAGCTGTGATCAGGCCATTGCATTCCAGCCTGGGTGACAGAGTGAGACCATCACAAAAACAAACAAACAAACAAATAAATAAATAAATAAATAAATAAATAAATAAAAAAAATCTGGGCCTCCCACCAAGGGTGGGAAACATCAGAAAGCTCAGAGGACCACACCTGCCCGTTCACCTGTCCTGGGCTCCTGCTGAAGCCAGGGCTACCAGATGGGGGCAAAAGACCTCCCTTACGCAAGTCCCAAACCACCATTACCTCCCACGAGTACAGGTAGGCGGGGTGTTCGTGCATCAGGTACGGCCACCAGAGGTTGGCACCCAGCACCTTCAGCTGGCCCTGGGTCCCAGCCTGGTTGTCCACGACTTTGTTTTCTGCATTCAAAAGACACACTTCCTACTTGAACTGGTTACTGCACTTGACGGAGATCTGGTAATTCACCAGCCCTGCAGGAGGCAAGAGAGACCAGGGCTTAGGGAGGGACATGACCTGGGTCACACAAACGGGAAGGCCCCACAATGACCACTCCCAGGCACTCTCATTTGCTTCTGTTGCTTTTTTTTTTTTTTTTTTTGAGATAGAATCTCGCTCTGTCACCCAGGCTGGAGTGCAGTGGCATGATCTGGACTCACTGAAACCTCTGCCTCCCAGGTTCAAGTGATTCTCCTGCCTCAGCCTCTGGAATAGCTGGGATTACAGGCACCTGCCACCACATCCAGCTAATTTTTGTATTGTTAGTAGAGACGGGGTTTCACCACATTAGCCAGGATGGTCTTGATCTCCTGACCTCGTGATCCGCCTGCCTCGGCCTCCCAAAGTGCTGGGATTACAGGCTTGAGCCACCGTGCCCGGCCCTGAACCAATGCGCCCAGCCCGCTTTTAATTTAATTTTTTAATTTTTTTTTTTTTTTTTTTTTTTTTTTTGAGATGGAGTCTCACTGTCACCCAGGCTGGAGTGTAGTGCTGCGATCCTGACTCGCTGCAACCTCCACCTCTGGAGTTCAGGTGATTCTCCTGCCTCAGCCTTCCGAGTACCTGGGAATACAGGAATGCACCACCATGCCCGGCGAATTTTTCTATTTTCAGTAGAGACGGAGTTTTGCCATGTTGGCCAGGCTGGTCTCGAACTCCTGAACTCAGGTGATCCACCCGCCTCAGTCTCCCAATAGATTACATATATTATTAATGAATTGCTTCCTTTAACACCCTATTCATTGAATTTTCCAGTAAACCACAATTACTAATTACTCCTGAAATCAGAAAAGAGGTTAAAAAGATTTTATAACAGTATCCTATGAAATCTACTACTTTCAAGTAATAGTAGTTGAATTACCAAAACCCGTCACTCAAGCCAATGACTACAATTAAGATATGAGTAACATTTCCTAGATAAATAAAGTCAATTAATTATATTTGCATCTGGGAAATAGAGAAAGTACATATAAGCCATGATTTTGAAGTCAAAAGAGAGAGAATATTTGCCAAGGAGGGGTGAGTTATAGTATGTAATTATAACATACAGAAGCTTTTTGTATGCTGGTAACTAATTTTAATTTCCTACATTTTTATGTAGATTTCTGCTATTCTTGTCCTATTTTCCTAATCATCTTTCTATATGAATGACTACATAATTCTGAGAATACCAAAAGAGACAGACACAGAACCAATCGGATTCCTTTCTTCTTGAAGCTTCTGCACAGCAAAAGAAACTATCAACAGAGTGAACAGACAACCTACAGAATGGGAGAAAATTTTTGCAACAATGCATGTGACAAAGATCTAATGTCCAACACTGATAAGGAACTTAAACAAATTTACAAGAAAAAAAAAAATCTCATTAGAAAGTGGGCACAGGACATAAACAGACACTTCAAAAGAAGACACACATGCGGCCAACAAGCATATGAGAAAAAGCTCAATATCACTGATCATTAGAGAAATGCAAATCAAAACCACAATGGCATACCATCTCACACCAGTCAGTATGGTTATTATTAAGAAGTCAACGCCGGGCATGGTGGCTCACGCCTATAATCCCAGCACTTCAGGAGGCCAAGGCAGGCAGATCGCATGAGGTCAGGAGTTCCAGACCAGCCTGGACAACCTGGCGAAACCCCGTCTCTACTAAAAATACAAAAATTAGCCCAGCGTGGTGGCGGGTGCCTGTAATCCCAGCTACTCAGGATGCTGAGGCAGGAGAATCGCCTGAACCCGGGAGGCAGAGGTTGTAGTGAGCCGAGATCATACCACTGCACTCTCCAGCTTAGGTGACAGAGCGAGACTCTGTCTCAAAAAAAAAAAAAAAAAAATATTTGAATTTTGTTTAAATCGCTAACACATACTGGGCATTTAATAACAAAAAAAAAGGACATGAGATTGTGATCCTTATGAAGGTTTGAGAGGCATTTCACTAGGGTTCAACATACAGCAGTCTGAAACATACTGTAATAATTTAATCCAATGGCTCATCTACAGCACCTAAAAAGATTACAGCAGATTCTCATTATTCAGTGTAGTTACGGTCTAGAAAGTTCCATGAACAAATAAAAAGTTAGGTTTCAGCAAGCTACTGGTCACACTTTTGTAAGCTTACCAACACCTACTTTTGTTGTATGTGTGCTTATTTAATATATATTGTTGGCCAGGCACAGTGGCTAACGCCTGTAATCCCAGCACTTTGGGAAGCCAAGGCGGGCAGATCATTTGAGGTCTGGAGTTCGAGACCAGCCTGGCCAACGTGGTGAAACCCCGTCTCTACTAAAACTACAAAAAAAAAAAAAAAAATTAGCCAGGCATGGTGGCGCATGCCTGTAGTCTTAGCTACTTGGGAGGCGAAGGCAGGGGAATCGCTTGAACCCAGGAGGCAGAGGTTGCAGTGAGCCAAGACTGCACCACTGCACTCCAGCCTGAGCAACAGAGTGAGACTCTATCTCAAAAAAAATAATAATAATAATTAATTAAATGAAGAATAAATAAATAATATACATTGTTCATTCATTAACATTGAACTCACAGCCAACGGCACTACAGCACTCACGCCTGAATGGAGTTTATTTAATGCATGTATTTTCTCTGTAAGACACATCACAGACTTCTTGGACTTGTGAATGCTAAGCAGCACTTCAGCACTATGCTTGGGGGTTAATTTAAATGGCAAAACAACCAACAAACAGTACAAAAACAGGAAAAGCATGGCATTAAATAGACCACAAAAAGGATACCTGACTATTGTATGAGAGCTGAAAAAGAAGGCAGAATATCATCCTGTTCAAACTCAAATTCTTTGACACTCTGCGCAAACACATGACTATGAAAGTGCTGTGAGTACTGATTTGGGGGTTACAAAAAATAGTAGGTGAGTTCACAAATACAAAAGCTGAAAACAAGGAGGATCGACTGTATTTTCGTAGACAATCTAATCTCAGAAGATTTCAGTTCAGACAAAAATCATGATAATTACTGTATTACAAAAGGGCACTAGATAGGGGGGAAAGAGTAAAAATCACAATTAAAACAAAGGTTCAAAATTCTGCAGCAACCATATCCAGTTACACTTTAATATGTTTGCGGCAGACTACATTATTGTTCCCAACTCATCACCCCTCCCTATATCTAAAACCTTTCCCCAAGACAATGCAGTTCCTCCTGCTAGAGATCAGGTATATTTATCTATACTATCAATGTTAGCCATGGACAAGGTATGTGCTTTGGCTGACTGAATGTTAGTGGACATGAGAGAAGCAATGGCTTAAAATGTACTTCCAGAACTGGAGTTTCCTTGTGATTCTATCACTGTGACAGAAACACATTCTCAGGTAGTCCACTGATCCAAGGGGGAACAAACACACAGAAAACATACCTAGACTCTATCTGCAGCTTGCAGCCTCACCAAGCCAACAACAGTCAACTCACAGATATGTTAGCAAAAATAAATGTTTTTCGTACCTTAAGTTTTATATAATTATTATTGACCTGCAGTTAACTGATATACAATATACATTAATCTTAAAATATCAGTATCCCATTAAAAATATTTACATTAAAAACTGAGACCACTTTCTTTCCTCCTTTTTTTTTTTTTTTTTTTTTTAAATTAAGAGACAGGGTGTCTCAATGTTGCCCAAGCTGGAGTTCAGTGGCTAGTGGCTATTCACAAGAACGATCATCGCACACTACCTCAAACTCCTGGGATCAAGCAATCCTCCTGCCTCAGCTTTCCAAGTCGCTGGGACTATAAGTGTGTACCACAGCATGTCAGCTCTCTCTCTCCTTCTTGACCTAAAGCCTAGCATAAAATTAGCTAAGTAGAATGTTTCCAAAGATGGCTGCATCAGTATCTCCCATCCCACATAATTTCTGTTTGATTTTGCCATTCACCCATAAAATGGTGGGATCTACCTCCCCTCCTTGCAAATTTGAGCTGGCCCTCTGATCCTGTCTAAGATCTGAAGCCAGATATTAAGGTACTTCATTAATTTCCATGTTTGTCCTCTATGCAACCTAGCAATCAAGCAAGAAGTCAAAACATACTGACATAGTTTGGATGGGTCCCCACCCAAATCTCACCTTGCATTGTAATAATTCCCATGTGTCAAGGGTGGGGCCGGGTGCAGATAACTGAATCATGGGGATGGTTCCCCCATACTGTTCTCGCGGTAGTGACTAAGTCTCATGAGATCTGATGGTTTTATAAATGGGAGCTCCCCTGCACATGCTCTCTCCTGCCTGCCACTATGTGAGACATGCTTTTGCACCTCCTTGCCTTCCACCATGACTGTGAGGCCTCCCCAGCCATGCAGAACTGTGAGTCAATTCAACCTCTTTCCTTTATAAATTACCCAGTCTCAGGTATGTCTTTATTTGCAGTGTGAGAACAGACTAATACAATAAGTTGATACCAGTAGAGTGGGGTGCTGCTGTAAAGATACCCGAAAATGTGGAAGCAACTTTGGAAATGGGTAACAGGGAGAGGCTGGAACAGTTTGGAAGGCTCAGAAGAGGATAGGAAAATGTGGGAAAGTTTGGAACTTCCTCGAGACTTGTTGAATGGCTTTGACCAAAATGTTAATAGTGATATGGACAACAAGGTCCAGGCGGAGGTGGTCTCAGAGGGAGATGAGGAATTTGTTGGGAAATGGAGTAAAGTCACTCTTACTATGCAAAGACACTGCAGGCATTGTGCACCTGTATTAGAAACGGGCATCAGATAGGCGGGAAAGAGGGAAAATAAGAATTTTTTTCTAGAGTTCCCTACAGATCTGTGGAACTTTGAACTTGAGAGAGATGATTTAAGGTATCTGACACAAGAAATTTCTAAGCAGCAAAGCATTCGAGAAGAAGCAGAGCATAAAAGTTCAGAAAATTTGTAGCCTGATGATGCAAAAGAAAAGAAAAATCTATTTTCTCAGGAGACTGGGTTGTAGAAATTTGCATAAGTAATGAGGAGCCAAATGTTAATCACCAAGACAATGGGGCAAATGTCTCCAGGGCATGTTAGAGACCCTCACAGCAGACCCTCCCATCACAGGCCAGGAGGCTTAGAAGGAAAAATGGTTTTGTGGGTCCAGAACCCCCTGCTGTGTGCAGCCTAGGAACTTGGGGCCCTGCATCCCAGCTGCTCCTGCCATAGGTAAAAGGGGCCAAGGTACACCTCAGGCCATGGCTTCAGAGGGTGCAAGTTCCAAGCCTTTCAGGTTCTAGGTGGTGTTAAGCCTGCAGATGCACCGAAGTCAAGAATTAACGTTCATGAACCTCCGCCTACATTTCAGAAGATGTATGAAAATGCCTGGAAATCCAGGCAAAAGTTTGCTGTGGGGGGGAGGGGAGGGGAGGGGGGCCCTCATGGATAACCTCTGCTAGGGCAGTGTCAAAGGGAAATATGGGGTTGGAGCTCCCACACAGAGTCCCCACTGGGGTACTGCCAAGCAGAGCTGTGAGAAAAGGGCCACCATCCTCCAGACCCCAGAATGGTAGATCCACTGACAGCTTGCACTGTGTGCCTGGAAAAGCTGCAGACACTCAATGCAGCCAGAAGGGGGGCTGTACCCTGCAAAGCCACAGGGGCGGGGCTGCCCAAGACCCTGGGAACCCACTTCTTGCATCACCTAGATGTGACACATGGAGTCAAAGGAGGTCATTTTGGAGCTTTAAGATTTGCCTGCTGGGTTTTGGACTTGCATGGGGCCTGTAGCTCTTTCGCTTTGGCCAATTTCTCCCATTTGAAACGAGTGTATCTACCCAATGCCTGTATCCCTGTGTATCTAGAAAATAACTAACTTGCTTTTGATTTTACAGGCTCATAGGTGGAAGGGACTTGCCTTGTCTCAGATGAGACTTTGGACTATGGAATTTTGAGTTAATGCTGAAATAAGAGTTTGGGGGACTTAGGGGAAGGCATGATTGCTTTTGAAATATGAGGACATGAGATTTGGGAGGGGCCGGGGAAGAATTATATGGTTTGGCTCTGTCCGCACCCAAATCTCATCTTGAATTGTAACAATTCCCATGTGTCAAGGGTGGGGCCAGGTGGAGATAACTGAATCATGGAGGCAGTTTCCCCCATGCTGTTCTCATGGTAGTGAATAAGTCTCATGAGGTCTGATGGTTTTATAAATGGATGTTCCCCTGCACATGCTCTCTCCTGCCCACCATGTCTGACTAAATTTTGTATTTTTACTAGAGACGGGCTTTCACTATGTTGGCCAGGCTGGCCTCCAACTCCTGATCTCGTGATCCGTCCACCCCGACCTCCCAAAGTGCTAGGATCATAGGCATAAGCCACCACACCCGGCCTCTTTTTTTTCTTTTTCTTTTTTTTATCTGGAGACTGAGTTTTGCACTCGTTGCCCAGGCTGGAGTGCAATGGTGCGATCTCAGCTCACTGCAGTCTCCACCTCAGCAGGAGAGCAGGAATCTTCAGTGATCCACGGGCAAATATGCAGCCATTGTGGGCACCTGTTCCTCCCGCGACCTTTGTGCCCACGTCTCTCCCTCCAGTACCTACTGCACGACCCCCACGTCCGCCTCCTGCCATTGCCAGCAGGTGCCTTGCGCGGGTACCTGGCTGCGCTTATTCATCCATTATGGTCGCTCTGTCACTGGTGCCATTATGTGCTCACATGCCCACTCCCTCAGGTTTAGAAGTCGCGTTGCCCGGCAACAGAACAATCTGCTGGCTTAGCCTTTGGCCAAGTTGGCAGCTGGACGAGGACGCTCAGAGCCCAGCTCTTGAGAGTTCAAGTATCCGACAGTTCCCCACTGCTCCCAGGAGCGGTTACCCGGGCACTCTGTGCCCCTCATTCCTGTTTGGGCCAAGGCCGAGGACCTGCGAGTAGGGCTCAGTTGCCTGGAGCCCCTTCAGCCCATCCCCCAGTTCACTTTGCTTGTGGGATCTCCCCGTTGCTCCTGCCCCTGGACTGAGTGGCAGGCCATCCTACAAACACCCGCACACTCGACATCACTGGTGTCAAGACAACTCTAAGAAGGTTTCAAGTGATCCTGCAAGACCTGTGTTCCATCCTGGTGATTCTGTCTTCAATTTCACTGCACAGGTACCACAGTAAGCCAGTGCTGTGTGCTCCGAGTTCCAGGGCATCCCCCAGCTCAGCCACTACACTGAGCACAAGGACTCTGTGGGGCCCAGGAGCAGGTAGTCACCCCTTTGGGGTCCACAACACCCGGCTGTCCCCAGACTTGTGTCCAGGGAAGATAGTGTTGAGGGCCCTCAAGGAGAGCGGGGCAGGGATGCCTGAGCAGGACAAGGACCCCAGAGTCCAAGAAAATCCTGATGATCAGAGAACGGTCCCCGAGGTCACCGGGGATGCACGGTCTGCATTTTGGCCCCTGCGGGACAATGGAGGCCCCTCTCCCTTTGTGCCCAGGCCCGGGCCTCTGCAGACAGACCTCCACGCCCAGAGCTCAGAAATCAGATATAACCACACATCCCAGACATCCTGGACGAGCTCGAACACCAAACGAAATGCCATCTCCAGCTCCTACAGCTCCACGGGAGGCTTGCCGGGGCTAAAGCAGAGGAGGGGGCCAGCCTCATCCCGCTGCCAGCTGACCCTCAGTTACTCAAAGACAGTGAGTGAGGACAGGCCTCAGGCTGTCTCTTCGGGTCACACACGGTGTGAAAAGGGGGCAGATACAGCACCAGGGCAGACAATCGCCCCAACGGGTGGCTCCCCCAGATCCCAGGACTCTAGGCCCCGTAGACGCAAGATTCCCCTGCTGCCACGCAGGCGAGGGGAGCCTTTGATGCTGCCACCTCCCTTAGAGCTGGGGTACCGGGTCACGGCTGAAGACCTGCACCTGGAAAAAGAGACGGCATTCCAGCGCATCAACAGTGCACTGCACGTTGAGGACAAGGCCATCCCGGACTGCAGACCCTCACGGCCTTCCCACACTTTGTCCTCACTTGCAACAGGGGCTTCGGGTGGGCCTCCCGTTTCTAAAGCACCCACTATGGATGCACAGCAGGACAGACCCAAGTCCCAAGACTGCCTGGGCCTACTGGCCCCCCTAGCATCTGCTGCAGAGGTCTCCTCTACAGCTCCCGTGTCTGGGAAGAAGCACAGACCACCAGGACCCCTGTTCTCCTCCTCAGATCCCCTTCCTGCCACCTCTTCCCACTCCGGGGACTCAGCCCAGGACACCTCGCTGATTCCTGCCCCCTTCACACCTGCAAGCAGGGATGCCGGCATCAGAAGAATGTTTCGTGTTCGAAATTGTTTGAGGGGTTTGGGTTTATTTTTGTTGGTTTTTTCTTTTTTTTTTTTGCTTACGTGGGCATCCTTCAGCTTTTAATAATCTGAAAAATTCTATTTACCCATTGTCAATGTGTATAAATTAATCTCAGTCAATTTTATACAATAAAAGGTGAACTTTTATCCATCAAACAATAATTTAACAAAAAATGTACCGGAAGAAGAATGTTCATTACAAATATAGGAAACATAAATATTACCAAATATTGGCAAGCACTAAAATGTTCAGAAATATAAGTCTATTACAGTTATAGCTCTCTCAAGCAAAAAAACAGCAGAGAAAAACTTAGTTTTCCTGAGGGGCTATTTATTTACTTAGGGATTTGTTAAAAGGTCAAATGGGGTCACACAGAATACTAAGAAGAGCTGTTCACCCAGGCCTCACTAAGAACTCTTCTTCATGCAGTAGCTATATAGTAATATGACAACTGCTCCTACGACCCAAAGAGGAACTACAGCAACTACTCTTTAGCATCTGTTGCTCCCAACTCTGCTTTGCAATTATATGACTCAAGCATTCTGGCTCCGTTAACTATTACTGCTGTTACTCCCAAGTAAATTCCCTCTAAAAAATAAAAATTTTTAAAGCTGTAATTTAAGCTCTCTGCTGCCTCATGACTTCAATTCCATCAGAGTTACGCATTGTTTCCTCTGTACATCTTTGCTCTGCTTCCATTGCTAATTCCCTAGTAAAGTGTTGTATATTCAAAGTTCCAAAGAAACAGAATATCCAAGACATCACCAATCATCCAAAACACAGTGTAGGAGGCCACAGTTAAGAGAAGCAAGACCATTAGCTCTTTTTATAGGCTCGAGAACAACAGGATGCTTTGGTCCTGTATCAGCAGGACGCTTTTTGGGTAGATCCTACTGCCACCCTACTATCGGGTAGATCCTACTGTCACCCTAGCTATGGGCACATGTCAGAGTCCCATGTAATAAAGGAGACAAAAGGAAACCACCACGAGTATAAACTAAGAAAAGTACTCCAAGGTTTCTAAGAATGGAGCTGTATAACTCACTTTGCCCCGTTTGTTACTTCTCCACGGTACTTACCACCACCTATTACATATATTTTGTTTATAGTCAGTCTTCCCCCATTAGAATGAAAGTTCCGTGAGGATAGGACTATACAGTCAGCCCTCAGTATCCATGGGGGACTGGTTTCAGGATCTCCTGAGGGTAACAAAGGATACTCAAGTCCCTGATATAAAATGACATAGTATTTGCACATCACCTTTGCACATCCTCCCATATACTTCATATCAACTCTAGATCACTCATAATATCCGATGTAAATGTCATGCAAATAGTTATTGTACTATATTGTGTAAGGAATAAGGACAAGAAAAAAGTCTGTACATGTTCAGTACAGACGCAATTTTTTTTTCCAATATTTCCAATCCTTGGTTGCCTTAACGGATGTAGAACCCAGGAATAAGTTCTGGTGTCCTATTGCATAGTAGGATGAGTATAGTTAACAATAACATATTATATATTTGAAAATAGCCAGAAGAGTAGATTTTGAATTTTCTCCCTACAGAAAAATCATTATGCAAATTACCCTGATTTGATCATTACACATTGAGTACATGTATTAAAACATCACATTCTACCCCATATATATGTACAGTTATTATGTGTCCATAAAAATTTAATGTCAATGTGTGAAATAAAATGAAAAAATAAAAATTTTTAAAGCTGTAATTATCTCCATCTGGTAGGAATATATACAATCTGAAATAAAAAATATATTTGTAATTGTTAGGACAAAATAGATTATACATTAAGTCTGCAAATTATAAATTATAAAATTCTCACAGAACCTGAAAAATTATTGATACTGTTAAATATTTAAAAAGCTGTCCTTGGAGAGAAAGAAACCTATCAGATTTACATCAACAAGTGTAATATGTCAGCCTATTACCATCTGCTACAGACTGCATGTTTGTGTTCCCTCAAAATTCATATGATAGGCCCGGCGCGGTGGCTCATGCCTGTAATCCCAGCACTTTGGGAGGCCGAGGCGGGTGGATCATGAGGTCAGGAGATCGAGATCATCCTGGCTAACATGGTAAAACCCCGTCTCTACTGAAAATACAAAAAATTAGCCGGGCGCAGTGGCGGGCGCCTTAGTCCCAGCTACTGAGGAGGCTGACGCAGGAGAATGGCGTGAACCCAGGAGGCGGAGCTTGTAGAGAGCCGAGATTGTGCCACTGCACTCCAGCCTGGGTGACAGACAGAGCGAGACTCTGTCTCAAAAAAAAAAAAAAAAAAAAAAAAATTCATATGATAAAGCCCTAACCCCCAAGGTGAGGATACTGGGAGGCGTGGCCTTTAGGAGAGAATTAGGTTTAGATGAGGTCATGAGAATAGAGCCCCTATGGTGGCATTACTTCCTTTATAAGAAGAGACACTAGAGCTGCTTTTCTCCCTACCATGTGAGGATACCGAGAGAAGATGGCCATTTCCAATCTAGGAAGCAGGCCCTCTTTAAGAAACGTAATTTGCCAACACTTTGATCTTGCACTTCCAGTCTGCAGAACTGTGAGAAATATCTGTTTTTTTTTGTTTGTTTGTTTTTGTTTTTTTTGAGACAGAGTCTCATTCTGTCATCCAGGCTGGAGTACAGTGGTGCGATCATGGCTCACTGCAACCTCCGCCTCCCAGGTTCAAGCAATTCTCCCACCTCAGCCTCCCAAGTAGCTCAGACTACAGGCGTGCACCACCACGCCCAGCTAATTTTCGTAGAGACAAGGTTTTGCCATGCTGCCCAGGCTAGTCTCAAACTCCTGAGCTCAAGTTATCCACCTGCCTCGGCCTCCCAAAGTGTTAGGAATACAGGCATAAGCCACCACGCCTGGTCAAAATATCTACTGTTTAAGCTACCTAATTTATGGTATTCTGTTTTAGCAGCTGAAGCAGACTAAGATACCATCCTATAAGCTACAGACCAGCACTATCCAATAGAACTTTATATGACGAGCAAATGTTTTATATCTGTGCTATCCCTTATGTTAGCCACTAGCCACATGTATCCATCAAGTATTTGAAATATGGCTAGTGCAACTAAAGAACTTAATTTTTAATTTTCTTTTTTTTCTTGAGATGGAGTCTCGCTCTGTCCCCCAGGCTGGAGTGCAGTGGCGCCATCTCGGCTCACTGCAAACTCTGCCTCCCAGGTTCACGCCATTCTCCTGCCTCAGCCTCCTGAGTAGCTGGGACTGCAGGCGCCCGCCACCACGCCCGGCTAATTTTTTGTATTTTTAATAGAGATGGGGGTTCACCGTCTTAGTAAGGATGGTCTCGATCTCCTGACCTAATGATCTGCCCGCCTCGGCCTCCCAAAGTGCTGGGATTACCGGCGTGAGCCACCACGCCCGGCCAATTTTTATTTTATCTTATTTAAATAACCACATGTGGCTAGTGGCTAATGTATTGAACACTACAGCTGTAGACAATACGAAATAAATATAAAGCAGTCTCCACTTTGGAAAAACAGAAGACTCTTACTGCCTCATAATATAGATGAAAAATGAAATACTAAGATAAGTAAAACGTTCTTTAAAGAACAAAAACAAAAGAAAACCTAATGAAAGCTATAAAAGTCCATTGGATAATAATGCTACCAGTACTAAGGAAGTACAGCCCCTAAGAGTGACTTGCAGTCACAAATATAAAAATGACTATTCAACTGAACTCCTAAGGTGAAAATTTCTTATTCACCATGCTCCAAAATGGTCTGTAATATTCTTCAGAGATGGCATGGTGGGGGAGGCAAGTGGCATCTCTGCCCAGAGAGAATACACAAGCAGAAAGTTCAACACCGCTTACCTGGTGAAGCCCTACAAGCGTTTCCACTCCATACGCGCTCTGAATAATGGGATTGTGATGTCTTACACCAATTCTCAAACTGGGCGGCCAGCTGCAGCCGAATCAACTCCAGGTGCCCGTAGTTGCGATACCAAGAGTAGTAGCTGTTCACACGGATCACATCCACATACAGAGCCTAGGACCAGAGCAGCAGAGCCCGTTCAGCAACCACAAGACCGCATGACTCAGTACTCACATGCTGTGGGGGCTCCTCTGACAGAGAAGGTAAGAAGGGGATGTAATCCCAGCACTCTGGGAGGCTGAGGCAGGAGGGTGGCTTGTGGCCAGGAGTTCGAGACCAGCCTGGGCAACACAGCAAGACCCCAGCTCTACAAAAAATAGTATCAAGAAAATCAGCACGGCACAGTGGCTCATGCCTGTAATCCCAGCACATTGGGAGGCCAAGGTGGGAGGATCACTTGAGCCCAGGAGTTTGAGACCAGCCTGGGCAACGTCGTAGGACTCCATTTCTACAAAACAAAACAAAAAGCCTACAACGGGAAGAGCTGCCTCTCGGGGCTGAGAACATCCAACTGCACCAATTTAGATCCTGAAATTACCCTGCCCCACAAGCAAAAAACATGGTCACAAAGTGGCCCAAAGGAGGCAGGCCTGTGATTGCACACTGACGCTCACGACGTGTGCAGCTGGGAAGGGCTGTGAGAGGCAGAGCAGCTGCCAACACGCAGTCCTCAGCCAAAACCCAGGGCCCCCGCCACTGGAACTGACTCCTCTCCAGGCAGCACTCCCAGCACTGGGCATCCCCTCACCTTGCCCTGGAGAAGCCCTCCCACCCAAGGGGCCAATGCAGTCATTCTCGCAGATAATCTTTTTCCGCTTTGTTTGGAAGACAGAGTCTCGCTCTGTTGCCCAGGCTAGAATGGAGTGGCACAATAATGCAACCTCTGCCTCCCACGATCAAGCGCAGGCGTGGTGGCATGTGCCTGTTATCCCAGCTACTTGGGAGGCTGAGGCAGGAGAATTGCTTGAACCTGGGAGGCGGAGGTTGCACTGAGCTGAGACTGTGCCACTGCACTCCAGCCTGGGCAACAGAGCAAGACTCTATCTTAAAAAAATAATAAAAAATAAAAAAGAATGCTAGTATCAGCCAGGCACGGTGGCTCATGCCTGTAATCCCAGCACTTTAGGAGGCTAAGGCAGGAGGATCACTTGAGCTCAAGAGTTTGAGACTGGCCTGGGCAACATAGTGAGATCCCATCTCTACAAAAACATTTAAAATTAGCCGGGCACAGTGGTGTACCCCCGGAGTCCCAGCTACTTGGAAGGCTGAGGCAAGAGGGTTGCTTAGGCCCAGGAATTCAAGGCTGCAGTGAGCTGTGATCACACCACTGCACTCCAGCCAGAGCAACAGAGTAAGACCTTGCCTTCACACACACACACAAAAAAACAAAAAACTCAGGTTCCAACCCTGGAGTTACTAAATCAGGATCTCAGAACGCAGAGATCTGGCATTTCAATAAAACTTCCCCTGGAGATTCTGATCAGCCAGGTTTGGGCCAGATGAACTCTAAGCTCACTTAAACCTTTGACATTTTATGAGTCTATTAAATCGAGTACAAAAAATGCTGAGTCCAAACCGGGCAAACAAATCCCATCTCCCTATGCCCAGCCTCCTTGGATTCAGAAAGCCACACTGCCTGGAGAGTAAGCAGAGAGAGAATTGTCATTAACCCAAAGACCATCTTTGAAAACAGACTGGCCGCGGCTGAGTGCGGTGGCACACGCCTGTAACCCCAGCCCTTTGGAAGGCCGAGGCAGGAGGATCACTTGAGCCCAGGAGTTCGAGACCAGCCTGGGCAACATGGCAAGACCCTGTCTCTATCTTTCTAAGTAAAACAAAATAAAAAGCTCAGACTGGCAGCACATGGTTCTTTCCAGCTGTTCCCATGAGCAGGCTTCAGGACAAGCCCAGGCAAAGGCAGGGAGAAATGGGGTGGGGACCCCCAGGCTCACCCCCTTGTCTGCTGCGTAGGTGGAGTTGGTCCCAAAGGTCACAGGCTGGGAGGGGTCCAAGGCTTTGGTGTGAGCAATCACCATCCTGTCCACAAAAGAGAGAAGACACAGGTTCCGTCAGTCCGGGAAAGGCTCAGACACCCTCCCATCCTCTCTGTCCCATCTTCCCCTGCCAGAACACAACTGGTGGCCAGGCACAATGGCTCACGCCTGTAATCCCAGCACTTCAGGAGGCTGAGGCAGGCAGATCACTGAGGTCAGGGGTTCAAGAACAGCCTGGCCAACATGGCAAAACCCCATTTCTACTAAATATACAAAAATTAGCCAGGCTTAGTGGCACGCATCTGTAACTCCAGCTACTCGGGAGGCTGAGGCACAAGAATTGCTTGAACCCGGGAGGTGGAGGTTGCAGTGAGCCGAAATCACGCTACTGCACTCCAGCCTGGGCCACAGAGCAAGACCCTGCCCCAAAACAAACAAACAAACAAACAAACAAACAAACAAACAAACAAAAAAAAAGAAAGAAAGAAAAGAAAAAAAAAAAAAAAAAAACAAAGCACAGAGCCGCTGCTTTCTTCCCTAACTTGAGATGTATTTTACATAAGGGCACGTTCCTCTAGTCCTAGACCGAGCTCTCTAACAACACTCTTTCTCCCCCACCCCTGAATCCAACTCCCCCAGAGGCGTAGCCACCCTGCCGGGTACACAGAGCTGAGGTCACTGGACTGAACACTGCCAGAAATGAGGTTCACTTCCTGAAATAGCTCTTGAACACAGGAGTGAATGGGCTGTGGATTCAGGTGGAATATTTATTAATGCATCAAGCAAACAGGTAGTGCGAGGTGGGAGGTAGGCATGAGGCTGGGTGCTAGGTGCTCAGTAATGACTCAAATCTAAGTCCACAGGTCCTGGGCAGTGGGAGTGGAGATGCATGCACAGAAAAACGGTGCAAGTGCCAGGCGAGGTGGCTCAAGCCTAGAACCCCAGCACTTTGGGAGGCTTACTTGAGACCAGGCGCTTGAGACCAGCCTGGACAACATAGCAAGACCTTGTTTCTACAACAAATTTAAAAATTAGGGCCGGGCATGGTGGCTCAAGCCTGTGAGCACTTTGGGAGGCCAAGGCAGGTGGATCACGAGCTCAAGAGTTCGAGACCAGCCTGGCCAACATGGTGAAACCCCATCTCAACAAAAAATAAAGAAGAAAACTAGCTGGGCATGGTGGCGTGAGCCTGTAATCCCAGCTACTCGGGAGGGTGAGGCAGGAGAACTGTTTGTACCCAGGAGGTAGAGGATGCAGTGAGCCAAGATCGCAACACTGCTCTCCAGCCTGGGAGACAGAGCAAGACTCTGACTCGTGGGGAAAAAAAAATATTAAAATTTAGCCTGGCAAGGCAGCGCACGTCTGTGGTCCCAGCTATTTGGGAGGCTGAGTGGGGAGGATCGCTTAAGCCCAGGAGGTCGAGATGGCAACGAGCTATGATTGCACCACTGCACTCCAGCCTGGGCAACAGAGTGAGACCCTGACTCTGAAAAACAAACAATGAAAGAAATGTTGCGAATGGAAATGACAAGTGGTGGCAGGAATTGGGCACTCTATGAGACAACAGACACATCCCCGATTGGAGAGTCAGGGACAGGCTCTTAGAAGAAATGGCCTTTATGCTGAGTCAAGTTAACCAGGAGGGATGAAGGGAAGAGGCTCCCAACAGAGGGACCAGTCCGTGCTCAGAGCTCCCAGCATCTGCCCAAGGCCTCCACAGAACAGACTGTTGTGTTTTTGTTTTGTTTTGTTTTGTTGAGATACAGAGTCTCATTCTGTAGCCCAGGCTGGAATGCAGTGGCATTATCTCAGCTCATTGCAATCTCTGCCTCCTGGTTCACCTGAGGCGATTCTCCTGCCTCAGCCTACCTGGTAGCTGGGATTACAGACGTCCACCACCATGCCCAGCTAATTTTTGTATTTTTAGTAGAGACAGGATTCACTACCTGTTGACCAGGCTGGTCTCGAACTCCTGACCTCGGGTGATCCACCCACCTCAGCCTCCCAAACTGCTGGGATTACAGGCGTGACCCACCGCATCCGGCCTAGACCGTTGTTGAAGCTGGTTTTCTTCTTCTTTCCTCAGTTCTTTTCTTTTACATCTTCCCCCCATCATTGCTCTGCCCATCCGAAGGCTGTGGCTGGCACAGGACAGAATAGAACCTCCTAGCCTCAAGTTCCAAACCCACACTCTCCAATAGCCAGGCTCTCAGATGGGAAGCTTCAAAGCCTTGTGACAGCCTGGCTGAACCTCTCCAGCCTGGGCCCTCCCTCCATTTCCTGCCCCGGAAACAGGCATCTCCTCTGGCCACCTCCCAAAGCCTGTCTGGAAGCCTCAGGCACCCGCTCCTGGAAGCCTGTACGATTCACAACAAACGGCCTGTCCACCCAGTCGTGCTGAGCACACCCCTATTCCCCCGAGCTCTGAATTGTCCTTTGCCCAGGCTAGGACAACATCTCAGAGCCTTCTGCCTGCTGCAGACTCAAATCACTCCATGAAATTGGGGTGTGGCATCTGCCTCAAGGAGCATTTCTACAACCTCTGCTGCCTCTACCGCAAATGAAACTGGCTCTCACCCACTGGCTCTCGGTGACGGGCACAGTGCGGAGCCCCACAGGGAGTGTGTAGAAGTCAAAGGCCCCAGTGACTTCTGTGCAGTCAGCCGCACCTACGACAGCCAAAGCGCCAGGTGTGAGCGCCCCGACAGCCTGAGCCCCATCTGGCCTGCCCTACAGCAGGAAGACCCCTCGTGCATGCACCCCAGAAGTCGCCACTGGGCCTGCAGAGAAGCAGCAATCAGAGGCTCTGCCCTTCACTGGCTGACCCTGGGACCTGCCCTTCAAAATCAGGCCTTCTCCTTGACCAGACGAGGTGGCTCATGCCTGGAATCCCTACACCTTGGGAGGCTAAGGCAGGAGGATCACCTGAGTCCAGGAGTTCAAGACCAGCCTGGGCAACCTAGTAAGACCCCAACTCTATAAAAAGGAGTTTTTTTTTTTGAGACAGTCTCACTCTGTCACCCAGGATAGAGTGCTGCGGCATGATCTCAATTCACCGCGGCCCCTGCCTCCTGGGTTCAAGCAATTCCCCTGCCTCAGCCTCCCGAGTAGCTGGGATTACAGACGTGCACCATCATGCCCTGCAAATTTTCATATTTTAGTAGAGACGGGGTTTCACCATGTTGGCCAGGCTGGTCTCCAACTCCTGGCCTAAAGTGATCTGCCCGCGTCAGCCTCCCGAAGTGCTGGGATTACAGGTGTGAGCCACCATGCCCGGCCTACAAAAAAAATTTTTTTAATTAGCCAGGCATGGTGGCATGTGCCTGTAGTCCCAGCTACTCAGGAGGCCAAGGTAGGAGGATTGCAGCTCAAAGCTGCAGTGAGCTGTGATCAGGCCATTGCATTCCAGCCTGGGTGACAGAGTGAGACCATCACAAAAACAAACAAACAAACAAATAAATAAATAAATAAATAAATAAATAAATAAAAAATCTGGGCCTCCCACCAAGGGTGGGAAACATCAGAAAGCTCAGAGGACCACACCTGCCCGTTCACCTGTCCTGGGCTCCTGCTGAAGCCAGGGCTACCAGATGGGGGCAAAAGACCTCCCTTACGCAAGTCCCAAACCACCATTACCTCCCACGAGTACAGGTAGGCGGGGTGTTCGTGCATCAGGTACGGCCACCAGAGGTTGGCACCCAGCACCTTCAGCTGGCCCTGGGTCCCAGCCTGGTTGTCCACGACTTTGTTTTCTGCATTCAAAAGACACACTTCCAACTTGAACTGGTTACTGCACTTGACGGAGATCTGGTAATTCACCAGCCCTGCAGGAGGCAAGAGAGACCAGGGCTTAGGGAGGGACATGACCTGGGTCACACAAACGGGAAGGCCCCACAATGACCACTCCCAGGCACTCTCATTTGCTTCTGTTGCTTTTTTTTTTTTTTTTTTGAGATAGAATCTCGCTCTGTCACCCAGGCTGGAGTGCAGTGGCATGATCTGGACTCACTGAAACCTCTGCCTCCCAGGTTCAAGTGATTCTCCTGCCTCAGCCTCTGGAATAGCTGGGATTACAGGCACCTGCCACCACATCCAGCTAATTTTTGTATTGTTAGTAGAGACGGGGTTTCACCACATTAGCCAGGATGGTCTTGATCTCCTGACCTCGTGATCCGCCTGCCTCGGCCTCCCAAAGTGCTGGGATTACAGGCTTGAGCCACCGTGCCCGGCCCTGAACCAATGCGCCCAGCCCGCTTTTAATTTAATTTTTTAATTTTTTTTTTTTTTTTTTTTTTTTTTTTTGAGATGGAGTCTCACTGTCACCCAGGCTGGAGTGTAGTGCTGCGATCCTGACTCGCTGCAACCTCCACCTCTGGAGTTCAGGTGATTCTCCTGCCTCAGCCTTCCGAGTACCTGGGAATACAGGAATGCACCACCATGCCCGGCGAATTTTTCTATTTTCAGTAGAGACGGAGTTTTGCCATGTTGGCCAGGCTGGTCTCGAACTCCTGAACTCAGGTGATCCACCCGCCTCAGTCTCCCAATAGATTACATATATTATTAATGAATTGCTTCCTTTAACACCCTATTCATTGAATTTTCCAGTAAACCACAATTACTAATTACTCCTGAAATCAGAAAAGAGGTTAAAAAGATTTTATAACAGTATCCTATGAAATCTACTACTTTCAAGTAATAGTAGTTGAATTACCAAAACCCGTCACTCAAGCCAATGACTACAATTAAGATATGAGTAACATTTCCTAGATAAATAAAGTCAATTAATTATATTTGCATCTGGGAAATAGAGAAAGTACATATAAGCCATGATTTTGAAGTCAAAAGAGAGAGAATATTTGCCAAGGAGGGGTGAGTTATAGTATGTAATTATAACATACAGAAGCTTTTTGTATGCTGGTAACTAATTTTAATTTCCTACATTTTTATGTAGATTTCTGCTATTCTTGTCCTATTTTCCTAATCATCTTTCTATATGAATGACTACATAATTCTGAGAATACCAAAAGAGACAGACACAGAACCAATCGGATTCCTTTCTTCTTGAAGCTTCTGCACAGCAAAAGAAACTATCAACAGAGTGAACAGACAACCTACAGAATGGGAGAAAATTTTTGCAACAATGCATGTGACAAAGATCTAATGTCCAACACTGATAAGGAACTTAAACAAATTTACAAGAAAAAAAAAATCTCATTAGAAAGTGGGCACAGGACATAAACAGACACTTCAAAAGAAGACACACATGCGGCCAACAAGCATATGAGAAAAAGCTCAATATCACTGATCATTAGAGAAATGCAAATCAAAACCACAATGGCATACCATCTCACACCAGTCAGTATGGTTATTATTAAGAAGTCAACGCCGGGCATGGTGGCTCACGCCTATAATCCCAGCACTTCAGGAGGCCAAGGCAGGCAGATCGCATGAGGTCAGGAGTTCCAGACCAGCCTGGACAACCTGGCGAAACCCCGTCTCTACTAAAAATACAAAAATTAGCCCAGCGTGGTGGCGGGTGCCTGTAATCCCAGCTACTCAGGATGCTGAGGCAGGAGAATCGCCTGAACCCGGGAGGCAGAGGTTGTAGTGAGCCGAGATCATACCACTGCACTCTCCAGCTTAGGTGACAGAGCGAGACTCTGTCTCAAAAAAAAAAAAAAAAAAATATTTGAATTTTGTTTAAATCGCTAACACATACTGGGCATTTAATAACAAAAAAAAAGGACATGAGATTGTGATCCTTATGAAGGTTTGAGAGGCATTTCACTAGGGTTCAACATACAGCAGTCTGAAACATACTGTAATAATTTAATCCAATGGCTCATCTACAGCACCTAAAAAGATTACAGCAGATTCTCATTATTCAGTGTAGTTACGGTCTAGAAAGTTCCATGAACAAATAAAAAGTTAGGTTTCAGCAAGCTACTGGTCACACTTTTGTAAGCTTACCAACACCTACTTTTGTTGTATGTGTGCTTATTTAATATATATTGTTGGCCAGGCACAGTGGCTAACGCCTGTAATCCCAGCACTTTGGGAAGCCAAGGCGGGCAGATCATTTGAGGTCTGGAGTTCGAGACCAGCCTGGCCAACGTGGTGAAACCCCGTCTCTACTAAAACTACAAAAAAAAAAAAAAAAATTAGCCAGGCATGGTGGCGCATGCCTGTAGTCTTAGCTACTTGGGAGGCGAAGGCAGGGGAATCGCTTGAACCCAGGAGGCAGAGGTTGCAGTGAGCCAAGACTGCACCACTGCACTCCAGCCTGAGCAACAGAGTGAGACTCTATCTCAAAAAAAATAATAATAATAATTAATTAAATGAAGAATAAATAAATAATATACATTGTTCATTCATTAACATTGAACTCACAGCCAACGGCACTACAGCACTCACGCCTGAATGGAGTTTATTTAATGCATGTATTTTCTCTGTAAGACACATCACAGACTTCTTGGACTTGTGAATGCTAAGCAGCACTTCAGCACTATGCTTGGGGGTTAATTTAAATGGCAAAACAACCAACAAACAGTACAAAAACAGGAAAAGCATGGCATTAAATAGACCACAAAAAGGATACCTGACTATTGTATGAGAGCTGAAAAAGAAGGCAGAATATCATCCTGTTCAAACTCAAATTCTTTGACACTCTGCGCAAACACATGACTATGAAAGTGCTGTGAGTACTGATTTGGGGGTTACAAAAAATAGTAGGTGAGTTCACAAATACAAAAGCTGAAAACAAGGAGGATCGACTGTATTTTCGTAGACAATCTAATCTCAGAAGATTTCAGTTCAGACAAAAATCATGATAATTACTGTATTACAAAAGGGCACTAGATAGGGGGGAAAGAGTAAAAATCACAATTAAAACAAAGGTTCAAAATTCTGCAGCAACCATATCCAGTTACACTTTAATATGTTTGCGGCAGACTACATTATTGTTCCCAACTCATCACCCCTCCCTATATCTAAAACCTTTCCCCAAGACAATGCAGTTCCTCCTGCTAGAGATCAGGTATATTTATCTATACTATCAATGTTAGCCATGGACAAGGTATGTGCTTTGGCTGACTGAATGTTAGTGGACATGAGAGAAGCAATGGCTTAAAATGTACTTCCAGAACTGGAGTTTCCTTGTGATTCTATCACTGTGACAGAAACACATTCTCAGGTAGTCCACTGATCCAAGGGGGAACAAACACACAGAAAACATACCTAGACTCTATCTGCAGCTTGCAGCCTCACCAAGCCAACAACAGTCAACTCACAGATATGTTAGCAAAAATAAATGTTTTTCGTACCTTAAGTTTTATATAATTATTGACCTGCAGTTAACTGATATACAATATACATTAATCTTAAAATATCAGTATCCCATTAAAAATATTTACATTAAAAACTGAGACCACTTTCTTTCCTCCTTTTTTTTTTTTTTTTTTTTTTAAATTAAGAGACAGGGTGTCTCAATGTTGCCCAAGCTGGAGTTCAGTGGCTAGTGGCTATTCACAAGAACGATCATCGCACACTACCTCAAACTCCTGGGATCAAGCAATCCTCCTGCCTCAGCTTTCCAAGTCGCTGGGACTATAAGTGTGTACCACAGCATGTCAGCTCTCTCTCTCCTTCTTGACCTAAAGCCTAGCATAAAATTAGCTAAGTAGAATGTTTCCAAAGATGGCTGCATCAGTATCTCCCATCCCACATAATTTCTGTTTGATTTTGCCATTCACCCATAAAATGGTGGGATCTACCTCCCCTCCTTGCAAATTTGAGCTGGCCCTCTGATCCTGTCTAAGATCTGAAGCCAGATATTAAGGTACTTCATTAATTTCCATGTTTGTCCTCTATGCAACCTAGCAATCAAGCAAGAAGTCAAAACATACTGACATAGTTTGGATGGGTCCCCACCCAAATCTCACCTTGCATTGTAATAATTCCCACGTGTCAAGGGTGGGGCCGGGTGCAGATAACTGAATCATGGGGATGGTTCCCCCCATACTGTTCTCGCGGTAGTGACTAAGTCTCATGAGATCTGATGGTTTTATAAATGGGAGCTCCCCTGCACATGCTCTCTCCTGCCTGCCACTATGTGAGACATGCTTTTGCACCTCCTTGCCTTCCACCATGATTGTGAGGCCTCCCCAGCCATGCAGAACTGTGAGTCAATTCAACCTCTTTCCTTTATAAATTACCCAGTCTCAGGTATGTCTTTATTTGCAGTGTGAGAACAGACTAATACAATAAGTTGATACCAGTAGAGTGGGGTGCTGCTGTAAAGATACCCGAAAATGTGGAAGCAACTTTGGAAATGGGTAACAGGGAGAGGCTGGAACAGTTTGGAAGGCTCAGAAGAGGATAGGAAAATGTGGGAAAGTTTGGAACTTCCTCGAGACTTGTTGAATGGCTTTGACCAAAATGTTAATAGTGATATGGACAACAAGGTCCAGGCGGAGGTGGTCTCAGAGGGAGATGAGGAATTTGTTGGGAAATGGAGTAAAGTCACTCTTACTATGCAAAGACACTGCAGGCATTGTGCACCTGTATTAGAAACGGGCATCAGATAGGCGGGAAAGAGGGAAAATAAGAATTTTTTTCTAGAGTTCCCTACAGATCTGTGGAACTTTGAACTTGAGAGAGATGATTTAAGGTATCTGACACAAGAAATTTCTAAGCAGCAAAGCATTCGAGAAGAAGCAGAGCATACAATTTCAGAAAATTTGTAGCCTGATGATGCAACAGAAAAGAAAAATCTATTTTCTCAGGAGACTGGGTTGTAGAAATTTGCATAAGTAATGAGGAGCCAAATGTTAATCACCAAGACAATGGGGCAAATGTCTCCAGGGCATGTTAGAGACCCTCACAGCAGACCCTCCCATCGCAGGCCAGGAGGCTTAGAAGGAAAAATGGTTTTGTGGGTCCAGAACCCCCTGCTGTGTGCAGCCTAGGAACTTGAGGCCCTGCATCCCAGCTGCTCCTGCCATAGGTAAAAGGGGCCAAGGTACACCTCAGGCCATGGCTTCAGAGGGTGCAAGTTCCAAGCCTTTCAGGTTCTAGGTGGTGTTAAGCCTGCAGATGCACCAAAGTCAAGAATTAACGTTCATGAACCTCCGCCTACATTTCAGAAGATGTATGAAAATGCCTGGAAATCCAGGCAAAAGTTTGCTGTGGGGGGAGGGGAGGGGGGCCCTCATGGATAACCTCTGCTAGGGCAGTGTCAAAGGGAAATATGGGGTTGGAGCTCCCACACAGAGTCCCCACTGGGGTACTGCCAAGCAGAGCTGTGAGAAAAGGGCCACCATCCTCCAGACCCCAGAATGGTAGATCCACTGACAGCTTGCACTGTGTGCCTGGAAAAGCTGCAGACACTCAATGCAGCCAGAAGGGGGGCTGTACCCTGCAAAGCCACAGGGGCGGGGCTGCCCAAGACCCTGGGAACCCACTTCTTGCATCACCTAGATGTGACACATGGAGTCAAAGGAGGTCATTTTGGAGCTTTAAGATTTGCCTGCTGGGTTTTGGACTTGCATGGGGCCTGTAGCTCTTTCGCTTTGGCCAATTTCTCCCATTTGAAACGAGTGTATCTACCCAATGCCTGTATCCCTGTGTATCTAGAAAATAACTAACTTGCTTTTGATTTTACAGGCTCATAGGTGGAAGGGACTTGCCTTGTCTCAGATGAGACTTTGGACTATGGAATTTTGAGTTAATGCTGAAATAAGAGTTTGGGGGACTTAGGGGAAGGCATGATTGCTTTTGAAATATGAGGACATGAGATTTGGGAGGGGCCGGGGAAGAATTATATGGTTTGGCTCTGTCCGCACCCAAATCTCATCTTGAATTGTAACAATTCCCATGTGTCAAGGGTGGGGCCAGGTGGAGATAACTGAATCATGGAGGCAGTTTCCCCCATGCTGTTCTCATGGTAGTGAATAAGTCTCATGAGGTCTGATGGTTTTATAAATGGATGTTCCCCTGCACATGCTCTCTCCTGCCCACCATGTCTGACTAAATTTTGTATTTTTACTAGAGACGGGCTTTCACTATGTTGGCCAGGCTGGCCTCCAACTCCTGATCTCGTGATCCGTCCACCCCGACCTCCCAAAGTGCTAGGATCATAGGCATAAGCCACCACACCCGGCCTCTTTTTTTTCTTTTTCTTTTTTTTATCTGGAGACTGAGTTTTGCACTCGTTGCCCAGGCTGGAGTGCAATGGTGCGATCTCAGCTCACTGCAGTCTCCACCTCAGCAGGAGAGCAGGAATCTTCAGTGATCCACGGGCAAATATGCAGCCATTGTGGGCACCTGTTCCTCCCGCGACCTTTGTGCCCACGTCTCTCCCTCCAGTACCTACTGCACGACCCCCACGTCCGCCTCCTGCCATTGCCAGCAGGTGCCTTGCGCGGGTACCTGGCTGCGCTTATTCATCCATTATGGTCGCTCTGTCACTGGTGCCATTATGTGCTCACATGCCCACTCCCTCAGGTTTAGAAGTCGCGTTGCCCGGCAACAGAACAATCTGCTGGCTTAGCCTTTGGCCAAGTTGGCAGCTGGACGAGGACGCTCAGAGCCCAGCTCTTGAGAGTTCAAGTATCCGACAGTTCCCCACTGCTCCCAGGAGCGGTTACCCGGGCACTCTGTGCCCCTCATTCCTGTTTGGGCCAAGGCCGAGGACCTGCGAGTAGGGCTCAGTTGCCTGGAGCCCCTTCAGCCCATCCCCCAGTTCACTTTGCTTGTGGGATCTCCCCGTTGCTCCTGCCCCTGGACTGAGTGGCAGGCCATCCTACAAACACCCGCACACTCGACATCACTGGTGTCAAGACAACTCTAAGAAGGTTTCAAGTGATCCTGCAAGACCTGTGTTCCATCCTGGTGATTCTGTCTTCAATTTCACTGCACAGGTACCACAGTAAGCCAGTGCTGTGTGCTCCGAGTTCCAGGGCATCCCCCAGCTCAGCCACTACACTGAGCACAAGGACTCTGTGGGGCCCAGGAGCAGGTAGTCACCCCTTTGGGGTCCACAACACCCGGCTGTCCCCAGACTTGTGTCCAGGGAAGATAGTGTTGAGGGCCCTCAAGGAGAGCGGGGCAGGGATGCCTGAGCAGGACAAGGACCCCAGAGTCCAAGAAAATCCTGATGATCAGAGAACGGTCCCCGAGGTCACCGGGGATGCACGGTCTGCATTTTGGCCCCTGCGGGACAATGGAGGCCCCTCTCCCTTTGTGCCCAGGCCCGGGCCTCTGCAGACAGACCTCCACGCCCAGAGCTCAGAAATCAGATATAACCACACATCCCAGACATCCTGGACGAGCTCGAACACCAAACGAAATGCCATCTCCAGCTCCTACAGCTCCACGGGAGGCTTGCCGGGGCTAAAGCAGAGGAGGGGGCCAGCCTCATCCCGCTGCCAGCTGACCCTCAGTTACTCAAAGACAGTGAGTGAGGACAGGCCTCAGGCTGTCTCTTCGGGTCACACACGGTGTGAAAAGGGGGCAGATACAGCACCAGGGCAGACAATCGCCCCAACGGGTGGCTCCCCCAGATCCCAGGACTCTAGGCCCCGTAGACGCAAGATTCCCCTGCTGCCACGCAGGCGAGGGGAGCCTTTGATGCTGCCACCTCCCTTAGAGCTGGGGTACCGGGTCACGGCTGAAGACCTGCACCTGGAAAAAGAGACGGCATTCCAGCGCATCAACAGTGCACTGCACGTTGAGGACAAGGCCATCCCGGACTGCAGACCCTCACGGCCTTCCCACACTTTGTCCTCACTTGCAACAGGGGCTTCGGGTGGGCCTCCCGTTTCTAAAGCACCCACTATGGATGCACAGCAGGACAGACCCAAGTCCCAAGACTGCCTGGGCCTACTGGCCCCCTAGCATCTGCTGCAGAGGTCTCCTCTACAGCTCCCGTGTCTGGGAAGAAGCACAGACCACCAGGACCCCTGTTCTCCTCCTCAGATCCCCTTCCTGCCACCTCTTCCCACTCCGGGGACTCAGCCCAGGACACCTCGCTGATTCCTGCCCCCTTCACACCTGCAAGCAGGGATGCCGGCATCAGAAGAATGTTTCGTGTTCGAAATTGTTTGAGGGGTTTGGGTTTATTTTTGTTGGTTTTTTCTTTTTTTTTTTTGCTTACGTGGGCATCCTTCAGCTTTTAATAATCTGAAAAATTCTATTTACCCATTGTCAATGTGTATAAATTAATCTCAGTCAATTTTATACAATAAAAGGTGAACTTTTATCCATCAAACAATAATTTAACAAAAAATGTACCGGAAGAAGAATGTTCATTACAAATATAGGAAACATAAATATTACCAAATATTGGCAAGCACTAAAATGTTCAGAAATATAAGTCTATTACAGTTATAGCTCTCTCAAGCAAAAAAACAGCAGAGAAAAACTTAGTTTTCCTGAGGGGCTATTTATTTACTTAGGGATTTGTTAAAAGGTCAAATGGGGTCACACAGAATACTAAGAAGAGCTGTTCACCCAGGCCTCACTAAGAACTCTTCTTCATGCAGTAGCTATATAGTAATATGACAACTGCTCCTACGACCCAAAGAGGAACTACAGCAACTACTCTTTAGCATCTGTTGCTCCCAACTCTGCTTTGCAATTATATGACTCAAGCATTCTGGCTCCGTTAACTATTACTGCTGTTACTCCCAAGTAAATTCCCTCTAAAAAATAAAAATTTTTAAAGCTGTAATTTAAGCTCTCTGCTGCCTCATGACTTCAATTCCATCAGAGTTACGCATTGTTTCCTCTGTACATCTTTGCTCTGCTTCCATTGCTAATTCCCTAGTAAAGTGTTGTATATTCAAAGTTCCAAAGAAACAGAATATCCAAGACATCACCAATCATCCAAAACACAGTGTAGGAGGCCACAGTTAAGAGAAGCAAGACCATTAGCTCTTTTTATAGGCTCGAGAACAACAGGATGCTTTGGTCCTGTATCAGCAGGACGCTTTTTGGGTAGATCCTACTGCCACCCTACTATCGGGTAGATCCTACTGTCACCCTAGCTATGGGCACATGTCAGAGTCCCATGTAATAAAGGAGACAAAAGGAAACCACCACGAGTATAAACTAAGAAAAGTACTCCAAGGTTTCTAAGAATGGAGCTGTATAACTCACTTTGCCCCGTTTGTTACTTCTCCACGGTACTTACCACCACCTATTACATATATTTTGTTTATAGTCAGTCTTCCCCCATTAGAATGAAAGTTCCGTGAGGATAGGACTATACAGTCAGCCCTCAGTATCCATGGGGGACTGGTTTCAGGATCTCCTGAGGGTAACAAAGGATACTCAAGTCCCTGATATAAAATGACATAGTATTTGCACATCACCTTTGCACATCCTCCCATATACTTCATATCAACTCTAGATCACTCATAATATCCGATGTAAATGTCATGCAAATAGTTATTGTACTATATTGTGTAAGGAATAAGGACAAGAAAAAAGTCTGTACATGTTCAGTACAGACGCAATTTTTTTTTCCAATATTTCCAATCCTTGGTTGCCTTAACGGATGTAGAACCCAGGAATAAGTTCTGGTGTCCTATTGCATAGTAGGATGAGTATAGTTAACAATAACATATTATATATTTGAAAATAGCCAGAAGAGTAGATTTTGAATTTTCTCCCTACAGAAAAATCATTATGCAAATTACCCTGATTTGATCATTACACATTGAGTACATGTATTAAAACATCACATTCTACCCCATATATATGTACAGTTATTATGTGTCCATAAAAATTTAATGTCAATGTGTGAAATAAAATGAAAAAATAAAAATTTTTAAAGCTGTAATTATCTCCATCTGGTAGGAATATATACAATCTGAAATAAAAAATATATTTGTAATTGTTAGGACAAAATAGATTATACATTAAGTCTGCAAATTATAAATTATAAAATTCTCACAGAACCTGAAAAATTATTGATACTGTTAAATATTTAAAAAGCTGTCCTTGGAGAGAAAGAAACCTATCAGATTTACATCAACAAGTGTAATATGTCAGCCTATTACCATCTGCTACAGACTGCATGTTTGTGTTCCCTCAAAATTCATATGATAGGCCCGGCGCGGTGGCTCATGCCTGTAATCCCAGCACTTTGGGAGGCCGAGGCGGGTGGATCATGAGGTCAGGAGATCGAGATCATCCTGGCTAACATGGTAAAACCCCGTCTCTACTGAAAATACAAAAAATTAGCCGGGCGCAGTGGCGGGCGCCTTAGTCCCAGCTACTGAGGAGGCTGACGCAGGAGAACGGCGTGAACCCAGGAGGCGGAGCTTGTAGAGAGCCGAGATTGTGCCACTGCACTCCAGCCTGGGTGACAGACAGAGCGAGACTCTGTCTCAAAAAAAAAAAAAAAAAAAATTCATATGATAAAGCCCTAACCCCCAAGGTGAGGATACTGGGAGGCGTGGCCTTTAGGAGAGAATTAGGTTTAGATGAGGTCATGAGAATAGAGCCCCTATGGTGGCATTACTTCCTTTATAAGAAGAGACACTAGAGCTGCTTTTCTCCCTACCATGTGAGGATACCGAGAGAAGATGGCCATTTCCAATCTAGGAAGCAGGCCCTCTTTAAGAAACACAATTTGCCAACACTTTGATCTTGCACTTCCAGTCTCCAGAACTGTGAGAAATATCTGTTTTTTTGTTTGTTTGTTTTTGTTTTTTTTGAGACAGAGTCTCATTCTGTCATCCAGGCTGGAGTACAGTGGTGCGATCATGGCTCACTGCAACCTCCGCCTCCCAGGTTCAAGCAATTCTCCCACCTCAGCCTCCCAAGTAGCTCAGACTACAGGCGTGCACCACCATGCCCAGCTGATTTTCGTAGAGACAAGGTTTTGCCATGCTGCCCAGGCTAGTCTCAAACTCCTGAGCTCAAGTTATCCACCTGCCTCGGCCTCCCAAAGTGTTAGGAATACAGGCATAAGCCACCACGCCTGGTCAAAATATCTACTGTTTAAGCTACCTAATTTATGGTATTCTGTTTTAGCAGCTGAAGCAGACTAAGATACCATCCTATAAGCTACAGACCAGCACTATCCAATAGAACTTTATATGACGAGGAAATGTTTTATATCTGTGCTATCCCTTATGTTAGCCACTAGCCACATGTATCCATCAAGTATTTGAAATATGGCTAGTGCAACTAAAGAACTTAATTTTTAATTTTCTTTTTTTTTTTTGAGATGGAGTCTCGCTCTGTCCCCCAGGCTGGAGTGCAGTGGCGCCATCTCGGCTCACTGCAAACTCTGCCTCCCAGGTTCACGCCATTCTCCTGCCTCAGCCTCCTGAGTAGCTGGGACTGCAGGCGCCCGCCACCACGCCCGGCTAATTTTTTGTATTTTTAATAGAGATGGGGGTTCACCGTCTTAGTAAGGATGGTCTCGATCTCCTGACCTAATGATCTGCCCGCCTCGGCCTCCCAAAGTGCTGGGATTACCGGCGTGAGCCACCACGCCCGGCCAATTTTTATTTCATCTTATTTAAATAACCACATGTGGCTAGTGGCTAATGTATTGAACACTACAGCTGTAGACAATACGAAATAAATATAAAGCAGTCTCCACTTTGGAAAAACAGAAGACTCTTACTGCCTCATAGTATAGATTAAAAAATGAAATACTAAGACAAGTAAAACGTTCTTTAAAGAACAAAAACAAAAGAAAACCTAATGAAAGCTAAAAAAGTCCATTGGATAATAATGCTACCAGTACTAAGGAAGTACAGCCCCTAAAAGTGACTTGCAGTCACAAATATAAAAATGACTATTCAAGTGAACTCCTAAGGTGAAAATTTCTTATTCACCATGCTCCAAAATGGTCTGTAATATTCTTCAGAGATGGCATGGTAAAGTACGATAAAAGGGTAATATTAACAGTATGCTGTCACAGGTGCCATTCTCTTAAAAAAGAAATCCAAAAATAAATATAAATGGAAAGCAAATAATTAATGGAGTTTTGACGGTCAATCAATGGTAAATATTATTGGCATTAGATTTTTCTATTAATTATAGTTTACCTATGATCATGTATTTTTCCATTTAAAAATTACCCTAAAACTTAATGGCTTAAAATAACAAATATGTATGACACAATTTATAGAAGTCAGGGAAATGATGGATTTGGGTAGGTGGTTCTGACTCGAAGTCTCTCATGAGTAAAGGTTGCTGTCATGTTGTTGACCCAGGCAGCATCCCCTGAAGCCTTTAACTTGTGTTGGAAGGTCCGTGTCTTAGTTTGTTTGCACTGTCGCTACAGAATACCATAGACAGGGTAGCTTATAAACAACAGAAACGTTTCTAATGGTACCGGAGGCTGGATGGTGCAAAATCAAGGTGCTTGCAGATTTGGTGTCTGGTCAGAGCCCATTTTTTAGTTCATAGATTACTGTCCTCTAGCTCACATGGCAGAAGGGGCAAGGACGCTTTTTGGGGTCTCTTTTACAAGGGCACTAATCCCCGGCTGGGCACGGTGGCTCACATCTGTAATCCCAGTACTTTGGGAGGCTGAGGCAGGCAGATCACGAGGTCAGGAGTTCCAGACCAGCCTGGCCAGTATGGTGAAACCCCGTCTCTACTAAAAATACAAAAATTAGCCAGGTGTGGTGGTGCGTACCTGTAGTCTCAGCTACTCAGCTACTCAGGAGGCTGAGGCAGAAGAAACACTTGAACCCAGGAGGCAGACGCTGCAGTGAGCTGACATGGCACCACTGCACTCCAGCCTGGGTAACAGAGCAAAACTCTGTCTCAAAAAATAAATAAATAAATAAATAAAAATAAAAATAAAAAATAATAATCAAGGCACTAATCCCCAACATGAAGACAGACTATCATCTACCAAAAGCTCCACCTCCTACTATCATTACACTGGGGGTTAGGATTTCACAAATTCAGTGCATCATAGTCTGCTTCTAGAATGTTTAATCATTTGGCTGGATATCAGATAGGATGCCTCGGTTCTTCATGTGAGCTTTCTAGAAAAGATAGTTTGGAATTATTTGCATGGTGGCTGGGCTCGTAAAGAGTTGAAGGAGAGAAAGAGAGAGAAACACCAGTAAGGAGCAAATTAGTTCACTCAAAATTAAAACCCTAGCCTTTGTGACCTTGTCTCAGAAGGTAACATTCCAATCCTGTGGTGTTTTATTTCTTAGATGGGAGTCACTCAGCTTAGCCTGCCTTCAAGGGGAGGAGTATGAAGCTCCACTTCTTAAACTGAGAAGAATCAACAAATATGTAGATATATATATATTTTTAATAGTATTACAGCTCATGAACCCATTTAAACCCATTTTAGAACTTTAAAGAAATATTTTAAAACGGAATTTTCAATTAAGCAGAAGAAATTGCCAGCTGTGGAACAGTGAACTTTATCGCTGAAATCACACACATATATACACACACACAGTGCAAACTCATACATGATCAAATCTATAATCTTATTACACAAAGTTTTGTGAGAGGAAAAATGCTTGACTTTTCAAAAGGGCTCATTTATTAAAAATAAAATGACCATTGTGTTCATTTTAGCTGCAACCTTTAAGCAATCAATGACTATATACTTGCTGTAATCATCCTTTAAAATTAGAATTATTGAAAAGCTTTATCACTGATGAATGAAAGAAAGTAATATTGATTTGTGGCCAAGAGAGATAATCTCAGGCAATAAACAGGTGCAGTCTTTGAAGGAATCATTTTATTTTATTACTTTCTGACATTATTGAAGCCAATTTTAAATAAATTCATCATGTTTTTAAATTTAATCACGTATTATTTTATCATACATTAGGTAAAGTTTCAATCTAAGTAACTCCTGGATAAAAAATGAAGTATATCAATTTACAATTACAAATACCCAAATTGTACAGGCATGCATTTTTCAATGACATTTATAAATTGTGTTTTGTTGTTTGTGCCTTGTGTTTGTTTTATTAATCAAATTAATTTATACAGATATATGTATGGAAATGAGACAGATATAACCAGTTCTCTATAAGTAAGCATTATCTAATGGAGTCTTTCCTTTCACTAATGATCATCAGGACAGCTAGGGAAGTGAGTTGAAATTTTCAGGCCATTAGGTTAATAGTTCTAGTAATTCTAGTAATGTTTCGACAGTCATAATATAAATGATACTATGTGGCTTGAATTAATGCATTTTCTTATGTAACAAATAATAAGACAATTTTTAAAAGTGGTAATTACTATTTTTAAATATGACAATTAAAAATAATGAAAGAAAAGAGGTTGTACATTGAGTAGCCATAACATTATCTTTAAACATATTTATTCTTCATTTCCTAACTTTTCCCACCTTTTGGCTAAATCGTATGTTCTTTCTCTAACCTCACTTCTGTTTTATTACTCTCTGGGAAAGATTTTTATATAAAACGTCTAAGCAATCAAACCTAACACAGGATGAATTTCTACACATTACTATACCCTCTGGTCACTATTTTTTTCTTCTCTTTATTGCCCATTTCCCTGATCTTGAAACATTCCAATTATTTGCCTTCCATGACATTCTACTCTTACTTTTACTTTTCTGTCTCTGATTACTCATTTCCAGTTCCTTTTGTCATCTCCTTGTCTTCCTACACCTGCCAATTAAATTTGAATTTCCTCTGCATTTCATCTTATGTCTCCTTTTCTTCTGCCAAATTCTCTCCTTAGACAAATACAGTCATTCCCATGGTTTTATATCCCACTTATATTCAAGGGCTCTAGAATGTATAGCGCCAGGCCAAATCTATCTTAAGAACTTACTTTACTTAACCAATTACAACTGCATCTGCTCAGGATCATGTAACCCACATCAGCATTTGGCTCTTCTGTAGACCCATTTTTTCTTTTCCTGGAAGTCTATTTTGACACCTACTTTCTGTCACTACCCACGTTTTAGCATTTAGCCTTGTCAATTTACTCTCATCCATATGTAACTCTATCCATTTTCTTCTCTCTATTATGAACAGCAGTTTGAGCCATCATGACCAATTTTGCAGTATCCCTTCTTAAATTAGCCTCCTGTTTCGCATTGGACATTTTCACCCCCCAGCAATTCCACCGATTTCATTCTCGGAAAAATATAAATGAAGAGTTACATTTTTCAATAGCCATAATCATTAAATTTCCATGTGTAAGAAAATGTTCAGAACAGTATCAGTGCATTTATAATAAAATTTTAAAACTTGACCCACAAATCTCTACTTGTCCTTCTAGTTTTATTTCATTTGTCTCTCGTCAATCTCTACATTCTGATCACCACAATCTTTTAATTCATCTGAAAGCTAAGCTCTCTCTTAATTTACATTCTCTATACTTGCAATTTTGTCTACCTAGAAGTGTCTTCTTCCATCTTTGGATTGTTATTGCAAATCCATTGAATAGTTCTCATCTGAATTGTTTCTTCCTTGGGATGACTTATAAACACTTCATCCTACAGCCAAATCAGAAGACCAATATCAAAATCTTTCATCACATCCTAAATTTGCTTATATGTAATTATATGGCAAGAATCTCTTTGTCTTTATAATCATGATTCACTTATCTATGTTTTTTAAAAACTCTTCTAGGTGGTGATGCTAAGCTCCGTAATGTTGGGCTTGTTACCTGTCTCAACTATCTTCCACACCTACCACAGTACCTGCTACATAGATGTATTCAATATATATTTTTAGAATTAGTAAATGATGAGCAAGCGTGTACTTTTGTTCTCTTTCATTACAGTGTTAGAAATGCTATTACAGCATTAGAAAAGATAATCAGAAAGAAAATTTAATAGATCATCAGAAAAAAATCCCAAGACTTTTAGGCAAATGAGCCTACAAACACAGGTGGAATGGACTTGCAATTTACCAAGAAATAGGTTTGTCATACTTAGAAACCAACTGTATAAACATGTTTTTATCTATTAATAACTCCATTTTCCAAAACGCTCTACTTTATATGAGACAATTCTTGATGGAAATACCATTTGCTTCTAGGCTCGTTGCTTAAACATAAAGTTAAAAATCTTTGTATGACACATAAAATTGTGGTGACTGCTTAACTTTGCAACTATAGCGCTCCTGAAATGCTCATTTAACCAGTCTGTGTTCCAGACCTACAGAACTTAGATGGTGCTAACATTGCGCAAAAATTGTGTATTTCTTCTACAACTAACTTCTGATAAAAAGGGGGCAGAGAAGGTTAACTCTCTCCCCCTTTAGCTTTATTTGCTTAGTGAATTTCTACAAAACATAATTTAAGTGCTATATTTTTCCAAGGTTTTAATAAGGAAATAAAAACCGCAATAGGTATCTTAAGCAGAAAGTGCATTTCATACATATACAATAGGAAGGGCTAAAATAACTAAAGTAGCTGTGGCATGGAGGAAGGTTTTGAGTTCTTGAATTCAAAGGCACGCAATCATTTCTGCAATCCTGGGTCAAAAAGATGCTCCTGCTATTAAAACTTTAAGCCTCTTATGCCCATGAAACTGGGGATTAGGCACAAGGATATTGAATCCTACCACTTCCACTACTTCTGAACTATTGTCCCCATGATTTCACTTGCCAGAATCAACAATAGCAAGACAGGCTTTGATCTCTTCCATTTTTCTAAGTCTGATTCATATGCAAACAATCGGTAAGTGGTCTAAGCTGCATTCATAAAGCTAGCTCAAGGGAAGCTGCATTGCTTGTTTTGTTTTAATTTTCTAACCTCTTCAAAGAGTGGAACGAAAGTTGAGGAAACCTGTCCAACAGTCTACCACACACCTTCCATGAAAGGTTCCCCAACACCTCCAACAAAATAATGTAAACACATGCTGGAACCTATATTACTCTCGCACCATAACACTTCCCACACTTCCCACAATACTTTTTCTCTTCATGGGAATATCCTTCCAAAACATGCTGATATCTCCTAAGCATTATTCATCTGTCGAATTTTCCCACCTATTGTAAGGTCTTCCAATTGTTAGGTTCTTAATAAATATATTTTAAATTATTAAAATTCTGAACTAATGGGTAATCAACTGTACAACCCGAATTGCTGATTTGCATACAGCTGAAGTCCCTCCTCAAAACTTCTGTAATACATGAAACTTAGGCAAATGGTTGGGTCATTACCATATATTACTTTATATTTTTATTTATCAGTATATGTGATTACAGTTATGCTTATGTTAATTGATATGTATATGTTAACTTTTATACATATGTACATTGTATTATTTTGTTACATAGCACAGCATTTTGTACTCAAAAAGTGACCAATAATAATAAGCTACATACTTTGGGAAGCATTGCAGGCTAGTCGTACAGTTTTGTTTTGTTTTTTTCCCTGCAGCCTGACAACCTTTTCAGTCATTCACTAAACCTCTCTCAGCTTCAGTTTCTTCATCTGCAACATATAGCAAATAATAAAACTTAACTCAGATGGTTCTAGTGTGAAATAATACAGAGTAAATGTGCCACCAAATACAAACCAATGGCTTGATTGACATAACTCACTGCTAATTTTCTTGAAATGATTCAAAGTATTTTCCAGACAAGCACACACTGAGGGAATTCGTCACCACCAAACGAGTCCTATGAGAAATACTCAAAGGTGTCCCAAACACAAAAATGAAAGGTCAACATTCATCATCATCATCAAAACACATGAAAGTAGCAAACTCATAGGTCTTGTAAAACAGTCACACAAAGTAGGACGAGCAATCAAATAGCAACACAACAGATTTCCACCAAACCACAAAGACAAAGAGACACACAGAAAGAAAAACAAAAAACAACAACAAAATAACCCCAAGGAACTTATAAAACAAGTAGAAAACAAACAGCAATATGGCAGAAAGAAAACCTCATGTATTAACATTAACCTTGAATGTAAATGAATTAAACATTCCACTTAAAATATATAGATTGATAGATATTGGGCCAGGTGCAGTTGCTCACACCTGTAATCCCAGCACTTTGGGAGGCCGAGGTGGGTGGATCACGAGGTCAGGAGTTCGAGGCCAGGCTGGCCAACATAGTGAAACCCTATCTCCATTAAAAATACAAAAATTAGCCAGGCGTGGTGGCCGGCACCTGTAATCCCATCTACTTGGGAGGCTGAAGCAGGAGAATCGCTTGAACCTGCAAGACGGAGTTTGCAGTGAGCCAAGATTGCGCCACTGCACTCCACTCTGGATGACAGAGTGAAACTCCATCTAAAAGTAAAAAAAAAAAAAAAAAGAAAGGTAGATTGATGGAACGAACTAAAAAATGATCCAAAAATATTATGCTTACAAGAAACATATAGACACATACAGACTGAAAAGTAAAGACACATACAGATTTAAAGTAAATGGGTGAAAAAAGATACTCCATGTAACGGAGACTAAAAGCAAGCAGGAATAGCTATACTTATATCAAGTAAAACAGAACTTAAATCTAAAACAGTATAACAATGACAAAGGAAGTCATTACATAATGATAAAGGGATCAATTCAGCAAGAGGATATAACAATTCTAAACACATATGCATCCAACACTAGACCACCAAGATTCATCAAATAAATATTACTAGACATAAAAAAGGAATAGACAGCAATACGATAATACTGGGGGACTTTACCATCTCACTCACAGCATTAAATGTTATCATCAAGACAGAAAACAAATAAACCTAAGACTTAAATTCAACCTTAGATGAAATAGACCTAACTGACATTTACAGAAAATACTACCCAGCAACTACAGAATATACATTCTTAATAAAACCGCAATTTCACCCAACAATCCCACTACTGGAGATCTACCCAAAGGAGAACAGATAATTGTATGAAAAAGGTATCTGCACCCATATGTTTATCACAGCACTATTCACAATAGCAATGTGTCCCTCAGTGGATGATTACATTAATAAATCTGGCATATATGCGCTATAGAATACTATTCAGCTATACAAAAGAATAAAATCATGTCTTTTGTAACAACATGGATGTAACTGGTCATTATTTTAAGTGAAACAAATCAGACACAGAAAGACAAATACTGCATGTTCTCACTTATAACTGGAAGCTAAATAATGTATACACATGGACATAGAATGTGGAATGATAGACAACAGAGACTTGGAAATTTCAGGAGGGTGGGAGGAGGGGATGATGAGAAATTATGTAATGAGTACAATGTACATTTTTCAGGTGATGTATATTCTAAAACCCTTACTTCAACACTACGTACTTTATGGAGGTAATAAGATTATATTTGTATCCCACAAATTTACGTAAATAAAAAATTGCCTTCTGTACTTACTTTAGCCCAGTTATTGTTAGGTTCAACATTCAGCACTTTACTTAAATTTTCTATAGCTTTCTGGACCTTTTTTTGATATTTATATATAGTAGTGTGGCACAGAAGTGCTAATATTTACCAAAATAAAAGTTATATTTTTAATTAAAAATTAATTAAAAGGTTGTAGAATCTCAGGATGGAATGCAGACTGTTACAAATTTATCTAGCTCTATTATGAACCATACAAAATAACTTCAGTGAGGGACTTAAGGGAAAGGGTGCTAGTCAAAGTGATATTGAAAATGAGTGCAGTCTCTTAAGATGAAAGGCAAAAGAAACTTGTACGAAGGCATTTAATTTAGTTGATAAAGATGTTCTTCTACTAAGGGCAGGTTATCAATTCTGGTACAGCTATATACATATACTGGAAGTGAACAATTAACTAAATAGATGTCACAAAATAAGAGTCAGGATTTTTATTGTTGGAGTGGGGGTTTAGAGATACAGGAAGGCATTGATGCTTGCGGGACTAGGTTAGAGGTAGTGACATCAGTAAGAACCCATGTTTAGCTTAATATAGACATAGATGGTGATATGGTTTACATTTTGTCCCCTCTCAAACCTCTCGTCCAATTGTAATCGCCAGTGTTGAAGGAGGGGTCTAGTGGGAGGGGATTGGATTATGGGGGCAGATTTCCTCCTTGCTGTTCTTGTGATAATGACTTAGTTCTCACACAATCTGGTTGTTTAAAAGTGTGTAGCATCTCCCCCTTAGTTCTCTTCCTCCTTCTCCAGCCATGTAAGATGTGCCTGCTTCCTCTTTGCCTTCTGCTATGACTGTACGTTTTCTGAGGCTTCCCCATCCTTGCTTCCTGTACAGCCTGTGCAACTGTGAGGCAATTAAAGCTCTTTTCTTTATAAATTACCTAGGATCAGGTAGTTCTTTATAACAATGGGATAATGGACTAATATAGATGTTTACATATAGAAATATTTAAAGATATGTGTCTACATATGTGTAAGAATATACACATTGTTTCTTTGCTCTCTCATCTTAGAGAGCTATGAAAAAATTGATATTCCCTTAGCTACAGGCACAGCTAGCACTTAAATATTGATTTCATATATAGAAAGCAGGGCGTCTTTGAAAGTGGCTGATTCTAAGAATGGGGAAGAAAATACACAAGATGAGCCTGGGACATCCTCTAGTGCCAGAAATTATGAAAATACTAACAAAAATCTATTCGTGAGATATGTCAAACAAGCACAGGGGCCAAGTGAAAGGTCTTTCAATTTCTAGAATAATTTTAGCAACACAATACATTAATTGGTATTATATTTGGATTATACCCAAAAATGTAATTTTCCTTAGTCCATATTGATATCAATAAATGACTGAATAAACAAATGAATGAGATAAAAGAGGTAAATCTCCTCTGCAAATAATTTACATATGTATTCCAACTAAAGGAAGTCAGCTCTTAAAGACATCTTAAGCAATACTGCAACTGAATTAGCTTTCCAAAGATACTGTCACAATTCATCTATTCCAAGACCTATACATTTCATATTTTAATATCTCCTGAAAATATAATGCATTTTACAATTCAGTGGTATGTCTTAGTTTAATTAGCCACAATGCGAATTACTTGCTTAACGGGACATAAAATAGTGCATTATACAATCTATGGGCTCTTGGACTCAAGAAAATACGATAGAAAGGAGTTTATGTTAGAGTCTGCGCACTGACTAAAGATCAGAGCAGAAAGCAGATTCTAGGAACAGTCACATTTGTGGCAGTCACTGGTCTCGGCATGCAACAAAATTCAAAGTAAATAGTGGTAAGGTGGGAAATGGACAAAGCTATGTAGCTAGAATCAGAAGTCCTTGAAATCAAAACATCAAGATTCAAACTATTTAGGGGCAGTGGGGCTGACGTGGTGACCGTGGGCCTGATCAGATAAAACCTTTACAAAGAAACAGTAGCTCTCAGACTCACCTCCTGAGACAGAGTTGTTCTGAGGGGAAAATGGGTAAGTTTCCACAGTAACATACAGTACTTAAACATACAGTAAGATACAGTACTTAAAGCCCTGACCTGTCCAGTTCCCAACACATCTTTCTTGATGGGCACCTAAATGTCACCTTTTGGTTTTATTTTTGTGTTTTTCTCATCTAAGCTCGGAGAGCAAAGCCTGACAGGGTGAGCCCCCAAAGTGTGTTCATGTCTTAAGAGTGTCCAGAAGCCACCTAGGGAGTGTGCAAGTTTTTCATTTTCATGCCAGGGACAATGTCTCTCTTTATTGAGCTAATGGCAAGGTATGGGCCTCAGAATATGTACAGTTTGAACATATTTGCATCTTCCCTTTAATTAACTGTGAAATCTGTGAGGCTAATGAGAAGAAAATTGATGGGTAGTCGGTGGAAGAATTTTTTTTTCATTGTCATATCTTCAACTTTCCTGGGGTATAATAAGAGATGCACAGTCAATTCAGTATACTTGAAATGTGTGATGTGGTCAAATTTGAGATAGATATATATATATATGTATATACTTTTGGAAATATCACTACATTCACAACCATCATTATGAAAAGTTTTCTTGTGCACCTCAGTAATCAGTCTCTCCCTCCATGCTGTCTCCAGGCAGCCATTTGATTTTCCATCAGGTAACATGAGTGAGAAGAAAATGTCTGTTGCAAGCTATTGAAATTTTGTGGTTGTTCACTTTTTAGAAACTCTTTGGAATTTTCTTTCTCATATCTTTATTAACATATAAAGTGTCTGTCTGGCATACTTTCAGATAATGTAAATAATATACTCAGCAATTGTTTTGTGCTGGGCTTCCATTTAATCTTTCAAGATCATATGGATTTTTATAGCTTTATATGTTGTGTTTGGCATCTTAAGCTCACTATCTACCTACTGACTCTTAAATCCCAAACTCTAAAGAGGTTCTGAAGATTCCAAAGATGCTATTCACATCCGGTAAGTTTAGGGCAGGAAAACTGGTAAACCTCCTATAACATGAGGCTAGAGCCCACAACAAAATTATCAGGTCCAAAAATGTCAATAGTATTGAAGGTGAGACAATTTCTAGGGAGATATTACACCTTGATATTCTCATTTAATATGCTGGTAATGTAATCCAGCATTTTTCCAAAAATGAGAATAGCCTGGTGGCCTTAAATGTCATTGTTTTACTCTTACTTACATTGGACTAAAGAATGAGTTCAAATGCAGCTGAATAATTTGGATATTTAAAGCAATAACATTTTTCACTAACGCGCATAGGCTTAATGCCTGGGTGACAAAATAATCTGTATACCTATTTACCTATAGGTTTACCTATATAACAAACCTGCACATATACCCCTGAACTGAAAATAAAAGTTAATAAATAAAGTAATTACATTTGTTTAGAAATAAAATAAATTTAGAAATGGAAAATATTGTTGAAAATATTCTAAGAATTTTAAATTTATACATTAAAATAAAAATAATCTGAATATTATTACCAACAGAAAATCTTTGTCTTGATCTCAAATTCCAAGTAGAATACCTTTAGACTATCTCTAGCAATAGCTAACAGAATAAGATTTACAAATCTTGATAGATCATTTTTCATGCCTGTGTCATTTTAAAATGAATTGATGGCTGTTAAAACTTAATTTAATTTGAGTCTCTTCCGGATCATATACATAGTTTTACAGACAGCCATGTTCAATGAAATTATAATATGTAACACAAGAAATATGCCAGATGTAAAGTAAGAATCTCTTTTAAACGCTCTGATATTCAAAAATCTTTATCAGATTTCCTAAACTAACGATTTTAAACAAAACCTTTTAGTTAAGAAAGCATTGGTCTCAATAGTAAATCTGCCAATATGAATTGCTGCATTTTATTTTTGAACTTTCTAAAGGCCATCTGCCAGAGTAATTAGATATAAAATCCTGCATGCAATCTAATATTAGATGAAAAGTTTAAACTACCAATGATACAATATTGATGCACAGAGGAATGAATTGATTTTTTATGTTATTCTCAAATTGAAAGTCAATCTTTTTATAAAATAAATTTATAAATAAATCCAAATATGATATTTTAGCTCACTTTTGACAGTAGGTTTTCAGTTTCTGATGTTAACAATGGCATAATTATGATTTGCTGAATGACTTTAAAGTGATCGGATAAGGAAACAATTAGGGTTTGCAGTAGCTGGAGAAAGAAAAAAAAGAAATATTTAGATATTGCATACTCAATATGGCACATACTACGTCACAGGCTTTAATATCAGTTGACTACTCTCTTTAGAAGGAGTACGGTTTGACCTAGACCAGTTTATTTATTCATTTTTGTAATAATTTTTCCTCATTCTCTTTGACACATTGGTTAACCTAAAATTACTGTGTTGCTTAGGACATTGACTAAAAATCGTAGTCTTTCAGTTTGTGGCTGCTCACAGGATTTTTTTTTTTTTTTTGCTTTGGCTTACTAAATAATCTTTTATTGGAGTTAAAACAACAAAGCTAGTAAAGATATATAAATCAATGCCAAAAAAAAGGAGACAGGCCTACTTATATGCCATTATCTTCTGTTATTGCCGTTGGATAGAAGACAGACATTATCATTTTTAATCAATTGTATACTTCATAAATATGATACAACAGATATTTTTACTTCCAAGATTATACATAGAGTTTTTATGATTCCTTTGTGAGTGTGAACTATATAGCTGTCCCTAAAACATAATTGAGAACAGAAAGGTTTTATTTTTAATTATATAATTTTCTTGCCCAAGTTATATGGATTCATAGGTTACAGAATGTATAACAATATACATTTTTTGCATTTTTAAATTTACTGTATAATTTATTTCTGAAACCAAATTTGATATACAACTATGTAAACCATTAAATATGATCTGGATTAAAATAATCTTAACAGACAAATCCAAAAACACTGCATTTTATTATTTCTATTTCTAATGTTACCTCCAGGTTTAGACTCCCCTAAGTAATTGACTCTACCTATTATGTTTGTGTTTTGAAACATCACTCTATATTGTAACAAAAAGAAAAATGACACAATTAGTTTCCTATATGTACACAAAAATTTTCAGTTTTAAATAAGGAAATATAGTTTTGAAATTTAAAAAAGTAAATGTTATAATATTTTCTCAAATAATTTACTACTCATATTCCCATTGCTTAGTTTCATTAATTTTTACACTCACATTTTACATATCCAAGATATATTTCCAGCTTTATTTTCAGAATGAACTGCTAGGATCTTAGATGAGTTTATTATTTTGCACGAGGTGCCACTGCTTGACACCTGATTGTGTGTATACCCCCCCTTTTTTTTTTATATACTTTTAAGTTTTAGGGTACATGTGCACAATGTGCAGGTTAGTTACATATGTATACATGTGCCATGCTGGTGTGCTGCACCCACTAACTCGTCATCTAGCATTAGGTATATCTCCGAGTGCTATCCCTCCCCCTCCCCCCACCCCATAACAGTCCCCAGAGTGTGATGTTCCCCTTCCTGTGTCCATGTGTTCTCATTGTTCAATTCCCACCTATGAGTGAGAACATCCGGTGTTTGGTTTTTTGTCCTTGCGATAGTTTACTGAGAATGATGATTTCCAATTTCATCCATGTCCCTATAAAGGACATGAACTCATCATTTTTTATGGCTGCATAGTATTGCATGGTGTATATGTGCCACATTTTCTTAATCCAGTCTATCACTGTTGGACATTTGGATTGGTTCCAAGTCTTTGCTGCCCAAGGTAATTTATAGATCCAATGCCATCCCCATCAAGCTACCAATGACTTTCTTCACAGAATTGGAAATAACTACTTTAAAGTTCGTATGGAACCAAAAAAGAGCCCGCATTGCCAAGTCAATCCTAAGCCAAAAGAACAAAGCTGGAGGCATCACGCTACCTGACTTCAAACTATACTACAAGGCTACAGTAACCAAAACAGCACGGTACTGGTACCAAAACAGAGATATAGATCAATGGAACAGAACAGAGCCCTCAGAAATAACGCCGCATATCTACAACTATCTCATCTTTGACAAACCTGAGAAAAATAAGCAATGGGGAAAGGATTCCCTATTTAATAAATGGTGCTGGGAAAACTGGCTAGCCATATGGAGAAAGCTGAAACTGGATCCCTTCCTTACACCTTATACAAAAATTAATTCAAGATGGATTAAAGACTTAAACGTTAGACCTAAAACCATAAAAACCCTAGAAGAAAACCTACGCATTACCATTCAGGACACAGGCGTGGGCAAGGACTTCATGTCTAAAACACCAAAAGCAATGGCAACAAAAGCCAAAATTGACAAATGGGATCTAATTAAACTAAAGAGCTTCTGCACAGCAAAAGAAACTACCATCACAGTGAACAGGCAACCTACAGAATGGGAGAAAATTTTCGCAACCTACTCATCTGACAAAGGGCTAATATCCAGAATCTACAATGAACTCAAACAAATTTACAAGAAAAAAACAAACAACCCCATCAAAAAGTGGGCGAAGGACATGAACAGACACTTCGCAAAAGAAGACATTTATGCAGCCAAAAAACACATGAAAAAATGCTCACCATCACTGGCCATCAGAGAAATGCAAATCAAAACCACGATGAGATACCATCTCACACCAGTTAGAATGGCAATCATTAAAAAGCCAGGAAACAACAGGTGCTGGAGAGGATGTGGAGAAATAGGAACACTTTTATACTGTTGGTGGGACGGTAAACTAGTTCAACCATTGTCGAAGTCAGTGTGGCGATTCCTCAGGGATCTAGAACTAGAAATACCATTTGACCCAGCCATCCCATTACTGGGTATATACCCAAAGGATTATAAATCATGCTGCTATAAAGACACATGCACACGTATGTTTATTGCGGCACTATTCACAATACCCCATTCTTTAGACTTTTAAAATCAATACCCACTCTTCCCCACGAACAAGAGAAAGTAAAAACAACTAACAGTGGATTTCTGTATCACGATGACTCATTTTCAATAGAACACTACCATAGGTCAAATGGATGAATGCATAAATAATGAATGGATTAATATCTTTTACATAATCATGTGCCACATAACAACGTTTACATCAATAAGAGACAGCATGTAAAACAATGGCTCATTAAGATTATAATAGGGTTGAAAAATTGCTATCACCATTATAGATTGATCACTCTATGAAGTTTGCACAGTAAGATAATCACCTAGCCACACACTTCTCAGAACATATCCTCATTGCTAAGTGACACAAGGCTGTATTTCATTTAATGATTGCGTAAATAGTTGTTGAGAAAAATCTGCACTCTAAGTACCAGGATAAAAGAGATTAATAATAAATTAATGATTAAATGCACCATGATCAATCTTATCATTGAGGTCTATATGCTACATTTGGATTACATCGTAAAGGCAGAGGTTAATCATCGCAACTTACACAACAGGATACAGAGTGGATCAGCAGATAATTACATAATAGAATACAGTTTGAAACCTGCAAGATGCATTAGAATTAATTAGAATCAAACCATATGTGTGACTTTGGTTTAAATGTGCAAAACCTATTAATATAGATATAGCCAGGACATTTCTATTGTGTGTGTGTATATATATATATATATATATATAGTGTGTGTATATATATATACACACACACACATATACATGTATATATACATACATACATATATATATTTTATATATATATATATATATATATATATATATATATATATTTTGTGTGTGTGTGTGTGTGTGTGTGTGATGGAGTTTCGCTCTTGCTGCCCAGGCTGGAGTGCAATGGCATGGTTTCAGCTCACTGCAACCTCCGCTTCCAAGGTTCAAGCAATTCTCCTGCCTCAGCCTCCCAAGTGGCTGGAATTACAGGGGCCAACCACCACACCAGGCATATCTTTGTATTTTTAGTAGAAACTGCTTTCACCATGTTGGCCAGGCTGGTCTCGAACTCCTGACCTCAAGTGATCTACCCCCTCGGCCTCCCAAAGTGCTGGGATTACAGGTGTGACTCACTGTACCCAGTTTGTCTTTATAAATCTTATAGAAATATTTAACTTTTAAAATCAACCACACACAATTAAGACTTTGATAAAAGTAATTAAGAAGTAAAGCAATGGAAAAAGCAATTTTTAAAAACATATATGAATGATTGAAAGCCAGGAGTAAAATTAAGAATTGTATTAAAATATCACTATTAAAATTAGCTACATAAATATTTAATTAATGCAGCTAAATTGTTAACAAAATTTACAGAAGAAAAGTATGTTAACATTACTGAATCATCTTAAAATCTTATTAAAATTTAAAGTTCTTCTCAACTGAAATTATATCACAGAAAAAAATAATGTCACCTTAAAAAGTTTAGGATTAGAAATACATAATTATTTTTAAATATAGTCTTTATATATTAATTATATTTCATTAATGTCTTATTTCTTGAATAAACTTTTTTCATGATACTATTTAAGTGCCACATTCTACAATAATATGGAAAACAATTCTACAAAATGTGGCATACAGTAATTGATAGGTAGTATAGCACACCTTTTATCTCTTTATAGCAAAAACATAATGTGTAAATTAATATAACACTAAGTCCCATATTGTCATTTTTTGTCAAAGAGCTATCTCCTTGAAAACCATCATCCTCAGATGCATCTCTAACTTCAAAAAGACCTTAGAAACTGTAACAATTGTAAATGCGTTATAACTTAAAGAGATATTATCTTCACATTAGAGGCTAACAGGCTTATACCTACTGATAGCTGACAAGTATTATAGGAATCCTGGCAGGCAAATTGTTGCATAAAAATTATGTAATTTACTAACTGTAAAATAACCTTTAGAGTTTAGAATCAGTCAGATAAGTAGAACAGACAATTGTTATCAAAGCCATATAAATGGCTATTAAAATTATTTTTTGCTACCCTCATTTTATCTCTGAAGAGACATCTTGTTAAAAAATGAATAACAGACACATATAAATACCTAATTACAAGCAGAGTTAAGATTAAAATTCAGCCTCATTAGGGGTGGGATAGAAATCAGTACACTAAAGAATATTTTGGTGCAGGTAGTTTGTTTCAAATGATTCAACCTTCAACATTACTTCACTTAAATTTTAGCAAACTTTCTGCTATAATTTAAGCATACAGACCTATGACACTAGACATATGTCCTGTGTAAGCCTGGGCTAGGGGAGCTCTATTTAATACTTACATAAACCCCAAAGATGTCCTAAGAAATAAAATTTGGAAAAACTTTGATGTGCTACAGCACGGATTTTCTCCTACAGCAACAGAGCAGACACTTGAATGTAGTTATACTCCTGCTTTCCACCTCCCTGTCAAAACAATAAAAAAGGCCACAGGCCTGTGGTTCTGGCCTCCAGGGAACTGGTGGCTTCTTTAACCCACACTGCTGCTGCTGAATCCCATTTAGGTTTAGGGTTTATTTTGTATATGCCTTTGTACAGGCTAAATGCTGGTCTAGTTGAAAATCAACCTAAAACAACCTTAATAGCATCTCATTTTATTGTGACTTTACTTTTTGTGTTGTTTGGTGTTTTACTTTTGGAGACAGAGTCTTAATCTGTCACCAAGGCTGGAGTGCAGTGGCATGATTATGGCTCAACCTCCAGGCTCAAGTGACCCTCCCACTTCAGCCACCTGAGTAGCTGATACCACAGGAACATGCCACCACATAAGGCTAACTTAAAGAACATTTTTTTAGATGGGATCTCACTATGTTGCCCAGGCTGATCTTGAGCTCTTTGCCCCAAGCAATCCTCCCACCTTGGCCTCCCAAAGTGCAGGGATTATAGGTGTGAGCCACTATGCCAGGCCTCTCTCATGACTTTAAACTTGAACATGCTTTTGTGCTGTGGCCGAGTTTAGGATCCCAACCAGCCTGTGATTACTGTGGTCACCACACAGATTCCCTCTTGTTCCATCTTTTATATTCCATCTTCTCACTCTCATAACTGTGTGGATAGGAAAACAATTATCCATACAGGTATGATATTGGCAGAGAAAATCACAAAATGTTTTAATGAGCAAACACTTTGGGGATGGTAATAATCTTTCTACCACCTTCATTGTCTTGTTTAAGTATCTCTACATTCTTCTTTAAAAATTAGGAATATATCTTTCTTGCTCTTTCGTTGTTGTTGAACACCAGAAGGGGATATTCCTTAATTCTCTCTCCATAGCTAAGGACAGTACAGCACAATATTCCATTCAGCAGGTGAAGTCAGTATGAATGAATGCATTTCAATCAGCAAATTGCTGGTTGTGTTGCAACTCCTAGTTATGATGTTTTGTGTACTTTGAAGGGCTCCCATTAATTAAGGTATTTCTTATAAGCATTCAGAAAGTTTCTTTTCTTGGCATGCGACTTGAAAATTTGTCCTGATATTTTCCCTGTGACAATGTTTTGTGAATTGTAACTCAGCCACTTAAGTGGCTCCTCATAATAAAGCCACATGGTATCCATGTACACATATTTAACAAATCAAAGAAGTGGTTCTCAACCTAATCTCTAGAGGAGGTCCTTCTTGTTCACTTTCAATAACTATGTTGAAGAATAGATTCTAAAAAGCTATCACCAAATTTTCGAATATGTTTTGAAATTTGTGTCCACAAAATCTATAAATCAATAAATGTATAGAATAGAGCATAATAATCCAATTAACAAATTTAAGATGTCATCTAAGCAGGAATGAATGCAATAAATAGGCCTTCTTACTTCAAAATCAACTGCAGAGGTAATGCATTGCCACTAGACTTGTGTGCTGTGTTGGTAATAAATTAACAAAAACTTTGGGGATAAGAAAAATCTGCAAATAAAATGGTGTGTCATTTGTGAAATATAATCACAAAAATGTTCAGATTGTTATAATTAACAGAAAAACTATTGTTTTTATTATATCCAGTGTTTAACAGACACTATTCATGTATACATACAACATTCTTATAATAACTCTTGTGTCCATGTAAATAGCAGTCTTGCCAAAAAGAATTGATTATCATGTAGTAGTTTGTAAGTATTTTCATGCATAGGCTGCAACCCTTTAGAGTGCTATTCTAATAAATTATTAATATTAACTTGATGAACACAATTCTAAGACATTTCATTTGAGGATATGTTTATTAACTATTAGGTTGGTACAAAAGGCATTGCGTTTTTTGCCATTACTTTCAATAAAAAATAGAACCAGCATTTAGAAATCTACTTTCAGAAACTTAATAAAATGAGAATTTGTCCTCTTTTACATATAGGAAGCCTGCATAATAAGCATTCTGTTGCTAGTACATAAGCTTCCCATTTTCATCAGGAAACTATACACTTACATTTCACTTTTACTAACTTCAATGCATGACTTCTACCTTCAAGGTGATTTCATGCTTCTAGCCACCATGTCTGTACTCCAGGACAGCAGCACAAAGTGTAGAAAAATAAAAAAGACATACCTCCCTAATGAGTCAACTGCACTTAAGGAGCCATCCCAGAAGTTTCACACGGCTTATTTGAATACAGCTATATCCAGATGCAAGGAATGCTGGGAAATGTGGTATTGTGCGCAGCTAAAGTTGGGATTATGTTAGTGAAAATGAGACCACGAACATTGGAAGGTTAAAAGCAATCTCTCATGACATATACAATTACAGAAATTAAATTAAATCTTTAAGCAATGTGATAAACCTATGGAATGTTAACAGGCAAAAATAGCAACATTAAAAATTACAGTGAGGGAATAAGGTATGATTCGTTTGTAGATGGTTTGTGTGTCATTAATCTAGGCAAAAAGTCATAAACTCCTCTAACAGTGACCACATGTATAAAAGAAATAATAATACACACTATGGCTAACAACATTCCATTTTGGCCTATTTACTGTTGTTAAGTCTCTATGGTTAGCATCAGAAATGTACAGTTTTGATAGCCTATGACCTCAACATGTTCAGTTTGATAGTAGAAAGGACAACATAAAGACAAACCAATCAACAAATAAGAATAAAAACTGTTAAAAAAAGGACAATATTATCATAAGAACATAAGGATGTGATAATGTATTTGACATATCGTTTATTTATTGTTTTATAGTTGGATAATACATATAAATTTACTGCTCCTTCAATGTTAGAATCAATAGAATCATAGCAGAAGTAATTAAGCAGATAAAGATCAAAACGTCACCTTTATTACTTACTGTTTGAAAAATAGTCTAAGGCTGGTTTTACAGGGTTGCTCCTATCCATCACCTGATGTGAAGTTTCTTAGGAAGCTTCAGGACTACACCAAAGAAGCAGAACCTGCTCTTTCACTCTGTTGCATTGTGTGGAGTGCAGGCCATCATGACTGCTCTCTACAAGAAAAAGAAAGGAAATAATTAAGAAACGCACAAAAGTTTGTGAATTGAGAATCCCAAAATAGGTATGAAATTGGTTAGCTTTCTAAATTCACCAATCTCATAACTAACACCTGTCCCCATGCAGTGAATGAGTAAAGGATGGACAGACTCCATAATGATTATTCTAGGGAAAGCCTTCTGAGTAGAAAGAGGAGAGTTTTGCAAACAGTTTTGTAGAGTTTACTCTTGTTTATGCACTGATAATAAATAAGAGTTCCTAAAATTCTCTCTAGAACTCTAGGTAAATGAGATATTTCACTGCTCATGCTGTGTGACCTTCATGTCCCATCTGCCTAGACTGTAAATATGCTTTCTGAAGTTTAAAAGAATTAGTATACTATGCTTACATTAAGCAAAAAAGTACCCTTATTATGCAGGATCAAGTAACACTCTAAAGATTCATGTTTATGAAAAAACACTGATGATTCTATTTTATTATGTGTCTTCTAAAGAGAAAAATACTTGTGCTCTGCAGCATAATTTTACAATGTGCTATTCTAAATACTTTCATTTAAACAAGACCATTATGAAAATGTTTTGCACACAGAAATATATTTTGAATACTTTTTTAAAAAGATCACAAAGTATATGGTCTCTGTACGTGTTCAATTATTTTAATGCTTTCACTATAACAGGAATTCTTAAAGAGGATATGTACTTGCATAATGCTGATAATTCTTTCTCATTTCTGTTTGTGCTTTGGCTGTTGTTACAACCACTGAAAGTAGTAATTACATGAGTGTATTATCCATGATTATCTTTAGATATATGTGCATTTTCTTTAATTAAACTATAAACTCTAAATGAAAAATAAAAAAGAAGTCACCTCTTGTCTCTTTGTACAATATTAAAATTTTTTTCTTGTATCCAGAGTTTCCCAAATGCCTGTTGCAAAATTTTACTTAGGGAGTAGAAAGTGGAGAATCAATATGGTAAAAAAAAACTGTGTTACAGGGAAGGAGACACAGGGTAAGCATTTTCCTTATCTTCTCTCCTGTATCTACGTGCTGCACAAGCATAAATGATAGCAGTCACATGAACGAGTACTTTTCAAGAACGTAGAATATGGTGATGGAAAAAAAAAACCGCTTTGAAACATCGAATAATATAAAAGCCAGAACTACTACAACTATTTTTTACATCCATAGAAGGTAAACTATTTTTAGATATAAAATTCCTTCTGACGGTAGTCCTGATCATTTAACCAATATTTTGATAAATCAAAGAAGGGAAAAATGGACATTCAGTCCAAAGATGGGCATGTATTCCCATGCCCAGTCAGGCAAAATTGTGGATGTTCTTTAAAATAACAATTCATTCAACAAATAATTTTTAAATGGCTACTGAATACCTGGAAAGGTTCTAGACACAGGGGCTATAGTAAGAAACAAGAAGGAACTAATTGACAAGAATGTGCTCACCGACAATGAAACATCTCCTCATGGAGCTTGAGTTCTGTTTGAAAAGACAGAGAACAAAAAAATATTATTGCACAGAGTGTTAGTTATGTGTGAATTAAAAGACTGGTCAGTACTTGAAGGAGAAGGAGTGACAACAAATCTCACTTCCAGTTCTATTTACCTGAACAGATTAATTCTATTTTGTTTCAATGCAACAGTAGTCCTACGGTTAACAAGATGCACTACACAAAGCAAACAACTTATAAAACGCATTTTTTCCTTATATTGCAAATCAATTTTAAGTGGATCTACAAATATACAATAAATAATATAAATTACGGATCGTTTGTTTCTAAGGTAATAAGTACATTTGTTAATTTCACATAAATAATTTCAGAAGGAGAGCAAATGTAAAAATGTGTTTTAGACAGTGGAGATGCCATTTTATTGTAAGACTATTTATACTCAAAGGACAAAGTAATCAGCTTTCTATGTCAATGATCGTCCTTCTCTATTTCACCCAGTTCCAGACAAACCCAAGTCTTCCAAGTCTCTTCATATATCTGATCCAATAAAATCTATAATGAGTTCAGTTAGCATACACACACACACACACACACACCACACACACACAAGCACACAAACACACACACGACTGCATTGAAATACTTGCTCTAGGGAAGGAACATAGTGTATATGCAACTTGTGTACTTTCTAAGTATGGGAAGACTAATCCTTTAACAACTGCATTTACTTTCTTTCACTTCTATCGTTGCTATCTACTCCTCAGAAATCTACTTAAACAACCAATAAATATATATGATGTTGTTATGAGAGTTTTGGAAATAATTCCTAAAAATTTGCATGGTTGCCTCTTTATATTTGGCAGCTTCTATCACCCATGGGAACAACCCCTACAGAATGATCAGAATATAAAGCATGTGAGCCCTGGGTTTCTCAGGCACTGGAAGGACCTGTCAGAATCCTCTCAGGTGGGTCAAAATGGCCAGGCTTTATAACCTCATCTCCATTCGTGTTTGCATGTCCAGTGCTCCAGGATGCCCTAACATTGAGCCAGACAATGGTTACAGCTGAGGCAAACTTTGAAGGAGCTGAGAGCTGAAGGCTGCTTTGTAATATTGCTCCTAGCAGCCAAGGGGGAAAGAAATCTTTTCTTGAAGAGCGATCTGTGTCCATAGCAAAATGTTTTTTTCTTAGCTCTTGTAAAATCGAAATTGTTTGCTTTTGAATTTTTTTAAATGATTCCTTTAAGATTCTTAATACCAAGATATCACAAGGTCAAGGAATTTTATAAAGAAGTATTTCTATTTATGTAATTTCCTAAATTTATCTATACACAAATCAGCACTAAAACATGCCTTTGATACTAACAACTTGATCCGTTTGTGAACCAAATCTGTCATGCAAATACATACGGCTGTTTTTAGATAAATTCTAAAGGTATTACCAAATCATTTAATTTTATTGTGTATCTCAATATTCTGGTTGATGTATAAGTTTAAATAGAACAAACTATTTGACATTGAAATGTTCTTTATCAAAGGAGAAGGAATACAATTTTAAAGCCACAACGAGTGACACATAGTTCTGAATGATTTATTGGCTGTCTGCCATTCTGAAATGGCTGCCAGTCAATGTTACATGTGACATCTTTCAGATAGTGTGAACTCTTTTATGCAAGCACCTTTCACTATAAAATTACAGCTGGAGATCATGAAGAGAAAAGTGTGGTGTTTATCTTAATGGGCTGAAAGACCTATTTCAACAGTTACAGTAATTCAGAAAAATAGTCTGAAGTCTAGTATTTCAATAATGTTATTTTCATAGATTTTAATCTCTAAAGACAATGCTTCACTTTTGTAGAAAATGACTTTTCTAATCATCCTGGATTTCAAAATTCTTTCCATTACTTAATATTTAAATCACTGGCAGAACTTGGCATGAGGACTAGAGAGCTGTCACCAAGCAGCCAGTCATTTTTCTTGGCTTCCCATATGCCATGCCCAGCAATAGAGCATTTCTTAGTAGCTGAGGAATAGCAGCAGTGCTAAACACAGAGATGACATTAACAGGAATGAGAGGGTCCAAGCTGTTTTCCTAGACTAATTCTCATTCAGCCTGAATTCAAAGCATTTTCCTATCATTATCATAGATATTTCGCTTGTGGTATTATCTATCTTTTGGCAATGTTGATTTTTTTCTGATTATCCAAATAAGTAATGTTAATGGAAAAAATCAGATATTAGGGGAAAAAAAACTCTAGAAATAAATGTTAACCCAAGACAATAACAATTCAATTAATTTATATGATACCTTAGGGATTGTGTCAATTATTTTTTAAATGAAATTCAAAAAATTCAACACCTGTGTTTTCTCCTACGATTACAAATTCAACTAGGGCACAATTGTAAATGGTTGTATTTGGTTGAATTTTTAGATTGTTTATAAGTTTTACTCTTGCAGACAATAATAATGGAGTTTCTTTGAAAATAAATTTAGTTGTTCTATAACCAAGGCATAAATATTCAATTCAATAAAATTAGCAAAAATATTAAATGAAAAGTATATTATATATAAAATGCATAAATAAAATATCCTGCACTGATCATTTTATGTCTATGGTTACCCTACTGATTCTGTGCACATTTGCATATGGGTATATATGCAATTTTATACAATGAAGTATTAATAGTGTACATAAATTTAGTAATTATTTTACCCCTTAAAAGTATATGCAATGAGTGTCACTTATATATAAATTCTGTTAACGTGGAAGAAGAATGTTAGTCAAAAAAACTACGAATTTAACAATTTTCTGGTTAATTCAAAGGGCTTTCCAAAAATGTCTTTTAAAATTCAATTTCATTTATTTTCTCATAGCAGAATATGAGAATGAATCTTTTTTGCTGCAAATTGGCTAGCAATAAATTTTTATTTTTATTATTTTAATTCTGTGAATTTCGGGAATGGAGTCTCATTCAGTATAAATATTATAATACTAATGAGATTGACTCCCTCCTTCTTATTAACAGTGTGCATTTTTACCCTCCGTGATTCAGTGCATGGTGTAGTGCTATAATTAAAAATGAACATTTTTTTTTAAATTTTATTATTATTATATTTCAAGTTTTAGGGTACATGTGCACAATGTGCAGGTTAGTTACATATGTATACATGTGCCATGCTGGTGTGCTGCACCCATTAACTCGTCATTTAGCATTAGATATATCTCCTAATGCTTTCCCTCCCCCCTTCCCCCACCCCACAACAGTCCCCAGCGTGTGGTGTTCCCCTTCCTGTGTCCATGTGTTCTCATTGTTCAATTCCCACCTATGAGTGAGAACATCCGGTGTTTGGTTTTTTGTCCTTGCGATAGTTTACTGAGAATGATGATTTCCAATTTCATCCATGTCCCTACAAAGGACATGAACTCATCATTTTTTATGGCTGCATAGTATTGCATGGTGTATATGTGCCACATTTTCTTAATCCAGTCTATCACTGTTGGACATTTGGATTGGTTCCAAGTCTTTGCTGCCCAAGGTAATTTATAGATCCAATGCCATCCCCATCAAGCTACCAATGACTTTCTTCACAGAATTGGAAATAACTACTTTAAAGTTCGTATGGAACCAAAAAAGAGCCCGCGTTGCCAAGTCAATCCTAAGCCAAAAGAACAAAGCTGGAGGCATCACGCTACCTGACTTCAAACTATACTACAAGGCTACAGTAACCAAAACAGCACGGTACTGGTACCAAAACAGAGATATAGATCAATGGAACAGAACAGAGCCCTCAGAAATAACGCCGCATATCTACAACTATCTCATCTTTGACAAACCTGAGAAAAATAAGCAATGGGGAAAGGATTCCCTATTTAATAAATGGTGCTGGGAAAACTGGCTAGCCATATGGAGAAAGCTGAAACTGGATCCCTTCCTTACACCTTATACAAAAATTAATTCAAGATGGATTAAAGACTTAAACGTTAGACCTAAAACCATAAAAACCCTAGAAGAAAACCTACGCATTACCATTCAGGACACAGGCGTGGGCAAGGACTTCATGTCTAAAACACCAAAAGCAATGGCAACAAAAGCCAAAATTGACAAATGGGATCTAATTAAACTAAAGAGCTTCTGCACAGCAAAAGAAACTACCATCACAGTGAACAGGCAGCCTACAGAATGGGAGAAAATTTTCACAATCTACTCATCTGACAAAGGGCTAATATCCAGAATCTACAATGAACTCAAACAAATTTACAAGAAAAAAACAAACAACCCCATCAAAAAGTGGGCGAAGGACATGAACAGACACTTCTCAAAAGAAGATATTTATGCAGCCAAAAAACACATGAAGAAATGCTCACCATCACTGGCCATCAGAGAAAAACGAACATTTCAAAGATGTGCTTCCAAATGCCAAATCATCACTAAAAAGCTCTGTGGCATAGAGGAAATTTCACAACCTTTTAGTGCCTCAATTTTGTGGAAGAATGGTTAGGAGGCTATTGCAATAACAAAAGAAAATTTGAATAGCTGTATCCAACATGAAAAGATTGCTAGTAGAATTAAATGAGTTACTATAGGTAAAACAATCAGGGAAGTAATTAAAGAGAATCTGCACTAACATTGTTTTATTAATTTAAAATATCTGTACACAATCCTTTGACTCATTTGGAATTAGTTTTAGTGTATTTTAGAAAATAAGGTTTATTTTTTATTTTCTCCCAAAACAATTCTTCAAGACAACTTTTCGAACAGTAAATTCCTTCTTTGTTTATAATATGTATTTTAATAAAGTCACTTATCTTCATGATTTCTAGGACATCGGTTCTATCTAATCTACTGTTCAGCATTCGTCTGAGTATTTTCTGAGCAGCAATTAACCCCTCTGTACCTCTGAGTGCCCACATTTCCTTGATCCATTTCACCTTGCTGATCAATCCTTCTTTACTCATAGTCTAAATTTTTTTTTTAGAACTTCTGAGAGTGCCCCAAACCTTGGTCTTGGGTCTTCCTTCAATCTTATTTGTCTTTCCACCTGATCTTAATTATTTACATCACATTATACCCTATCTTTATGGTGACAAATCTCAAAATTATCTCTCTGACCTAAACTTATCATTAAAGATTTGGTTGCAACTTATTAAGAAGTCAGGTTCAATGTAATACATGCATTGTTGATTTAATAAGCTCATCAAAATACTTAAAATTTTATTTGAATGCAAAAAAATAAAGCTTTTAATTTTATCTCCTATTTAATAATTTTGACAAAAACATTATACCAATCATTACTAATTATTGCTGGCTTTTAAAATATTATCTGATTAAATATTTTTGACTTGGAAAAATGGTAACAAATGCTTCTCTCTTTCTTGTCCCCTTGAACCATACTTGATATTGCTTTTTCCAAATCCGGGCCACAAGTTCAGAATATAACCTGTTAAAATATCTTCTGTGTATAAACTATCTTTAAATTTTCTTGAGAGAATACTGAGTAACCAAAAGCATTGCTCCTTCACCCTACAAAAGAGAGAAAAATTAAAAAATCACATTAATTTGTAATTTTAAATGGTAATTAAAGCTATTGTGAGGGCTCTTTTATCGGCCAAACTTGTGAACAAAAAACAGCTCAAATTTATGTGTAAATAAAATATATTGAGATGAAGCCTTTCATTCAATGTGTGATTTTCAGTTCAAAAAAACACACTGATGTTCAAGAACAAAGACTGGTACAATAACTATCTACAAAATGCTTTTGTTACTAGATTTTAATTCCTTCATCAAACAGACACAGTCAAAGTTGATAGTGTCACTAGATCTAGAGGTCTATCAATATCCTTCCCACCATTTAATATGTTCTTAATCTCAGGGAAATTCTAAATCATATTCTTCTAAACTGTACAGTTGACTCCTGAAAAACACAAGGTTTAGGGCCATCAAACCTCCCTAACCCCTCCCCACCACCCCAGCACAGTCAAAAATTCACATATAACTTTGGACTCCCCAAAACTAAACTAACAGCCTACTGTTGACTGGACAATCCTTAACACATATTTCATACGCTGTATGTATTTTACACCGTAGTTTTACAATGAAGCTAGTTACAGAAAAGAAAGTGTTATTAAGAAAATTATAGGGAAGAAAAAATACATTTACAGTACTACAGTATATTTATTTCTCTCATAAGTTTACAATCCTGTGTTTACAAGATGGATCCTTCTTCTGAAATGGCAGCACACACAGCTGCAGACCTCAATCTAGGGTACCTATCAAGCAATTCATTGTTTTCCTGTAATGTCAGGACCCTTCTCTGTTTCCTGGAAGAACTTTCAGCATCACTAGCAGCACTTTTTATAGGTCTGAAGGTGTTATTCAAGGTTTATGGTATTGCACTAGACATCATGAATAATACAGGAGAAACATGAGAGAACACTTTTTACTGTGTTAATTTACTGGAGAGACAAGCTACTCACAAGAAGATGATTAGCATTATGTGGCATTTTAAGTGAATACTCACAACACTTGAGTTCACTGCAAGAACAACAGGTGGAGGCTAGGAAATTATCCCAGTAGTACAGTATGTACTACAGTTAATTTTGTGCAGTTATGATTTACTTTTGTATATTTTTGTTTTACTTTTCTCTAAACTTCAATTGGCTGCATGTATGCTCTGTGTTTGCCTACGTCTTGATAAATTTTAACTTTTTATAATAGACGCATATATATTTCATTGTATTAAATGATCACTAGTATCTACATATGATTTATGCATTCATGACATCGTTTTCTTAGTTTTTTAATATTTCTTGTGTAGATGGGTCACCTGTTATCTTTTTCAATTTTTCATAAATCTCCAAAAATTTTCTAATATATTTATAGGAAAAAATCTACATATGAGCAGACCTGCACAGTTCAAACCTGTGTTGTTGAGGAGTCAACTATATATTATAATTTAAGAGAGGATTCAACTCTTTCATTCTACTGGCAATGGGTTAACATAAACTTTAGTCAGAACTGCTGAGCTTTTCTGGCACAATGAGGACAAATTGACCAATGTATTTAACCAACAGCTGGGGGAAAATTTTGCTAAAATTGGTAAGTATATCTTTATATAACTATATCCTTACAACTTGTCTCAACCTTCGTCAGATTAATCCTAACAAAACTGTAAAATGTCTCAGTAAAAATCTAAATGAATTTTTCATAACAAGTGCTGGCAATAGATTTTAAATATGTTCTGATCATTATTTGTCTCTTGTTGGCATGGAGAAAATCCTTTTTTTTTTTTTCAGCCTGGGGAATCCCAAACTATATCTCTAGTAACAAGGAAACCATTTTACCGGAATTTTTATTAACATGGAAAAGTTCTGTCAATTAATCAGACTTCACTGTCCATATCACTTTCAACCTTTTGGGAAGGTAGAAAGATGGAATTCTGAAACTAAAGTTGGTAAAGTTCACAGAGATCGTCAAACTTGCATGGTCTAAGGTATTTCTTCTTTCTGTGGTTCATGAGTTAGTAACAGCTAAACCAAGTGTCTAGGAATATTAGCTCTGATTCTAGAAATCTACACTTATTTAACTAAATGCTGTAAGGACTCAGGAAATCCATTCTTTCAACAAAAGTTACTGAAGACTTTCCCCATTAGTATCCTAAACAATGTCTGCAAAATTGGTTTTCATACCTGGATACCTTGTCTTCTAAGAGACACGGCAGGGAAAGATCATAGGAAAAAAGTCACTATCAGGCACAGCTAACAACTAGCAAACCCATAGTCTTTAAAAGACTGATCCTTTGATTCCTATCTCTCAAGTAAAGAGGTTTAGGTCATCTTCATATTACAGGAAAGTATCCCTACCAAAAACTTCTAACTAACGACTCTTAGGATTCTTCCAAAAGCAAATAGTCTTTGGGAGAAGACAGCTTCCATCAAATGCCTTTGGATCAAGTGAATCACTATATGAGATATCGGTATCTGCAAACCAAGATCCACAAAAAAAGATCCATTGTTTGTCATATTTAATCTGTATATCTTGAGTTTTCATTTTCCTAGTTAACTTTATCTTTTTATGCTTAAGGTTACATTTAATTACTTTACCTATAAAGCTACTATTCCTAATTCCTCTATGCCGTCCTTAGTCACTCTCTAGAAGAGTCCGGAAGCTGGCCGTAATTTGTTCACAATTTGGCTAAACATGCAGTTGAATCAGTGCTAAGCTGCACACATTTTCCTTAGGATGCCAATTAGAGTTTTTTTTTTTTAACATCGATTCCTAAATATGAAACATCTGGGTTTATCAATAATTGGACTCACTATTTATTGTTATTTTATCTGACAAACAGCAGAGTATTAGATAAATAGAAATCTTAAATCCTAACATGCTGCACCCAGGAAAGAAAGCTTATGCCTACAGCAGAACAGCACTTAGGGATCTTTAATAGAATGCAACTTCTGTCACTAAACCTTTAGAAAGAAATGTCTTAAAAAGAAGAGAACAAATGGCACATACTTAATTCATTTCTCACATTTACATATCATAAAAAATTCTTATTACATATTCAAGCTCCTATCACATCTACCTCTTCCTCTATGTGATAAGGTCTTCATTTTATATCCCCAAAAGTGATTAATAGCAGAATGGAGCTGAAAGCAATCAATAAACTCAATCAACCTTAATGACTGCTACTGGATTTGTGGTACCAGAACCTATTGATTATTACAGCAATCTTGACATAAACTAACATACTGATGTGGTAGTCAGAATAATGGCTCTTCAGAGATGATGGGGTCCTAATCCAGATAATTTATAAATTTGTTAGCTTACCTGGCAGGACAGACTTTGCAAATGCAATTAGAGTTAAGGATTTTGAAATGGAGAGACTATCATAGATTTTTAGATGGCCAAATGCAATCATAAGATTCTTTACACGTAGAAGAGGGAGATATAAAAGGAGAATGTGAAGACTTGCTCCTTCATTTGTAGCTTTGAAGGTCAAGGAAAGGAACTGTTATGAACTGAATATTTGTGTCTCCCTAAAATTAATCTATTGAAGATGATTGGCATTGTTCAAATATTAATAGATTATTTTCAATGATCTATTAATTGGCAGTGTGATAGTATCTGGAGATGGAGCTTTTGGGAGGAACCTAGGTTGAGATAATGTCCTAAGTGTGGTGTTCTCATGATAATGTTAGTGTTCTTATAAGAAAAGGTGGAGATACTAGACCACCTCCCACCCAACCACCCTTCTCTTTCTCTCTCCGTAAACATGTATCCAGGAAAGGCCATGTGAACACAGAGAGAAGGAGGCCATCTACTAACCAGAGAGGGAGTGGGCCCTCACCATGAACCAAATATACCAGCACCTTAATCTTGGACTTCCCAACTTTCAGAACTCTGAGAAATAAATGTCAGTTGTTTAAGTCACCCGGTCTATGGTATTTTCTTACAGTATTCCAAGCTGCCCAAGACAGGGAACATGCATCAAAGAATGCAGCTGGATTCTAAAGCCTGGGAAAGGCCAGGTCATGGATTATTCCACAGAGCCTATAGAAGGAATGCAGTCTTCCAATGCTTTGATTTTAAATCAGTAAGACCTGTGTTGAACTTCTAACCTGGAATACTGCTAGACAATAAATTTATGTTGTTTTAAACTACTAAGTGTATTGTGATTTTTATAACAGCCACAGGAAAATAATACATTTGGCAAATCAGTGCATGTTTCATGATGGTCAATGATATGCCCCAGGGTCCATCTTAGCCATGATTTCTATCCCTTCAAAAACCAAAACAAAATAAAAAAGTAAAACAAAAAGACCAATTTTACTATACTACTTGATTTTTAACAATATTTTATATGTATTTAATCCAGTATATCCAAAATATTGTCATCTCAGCATAAAACAATATTAAAATTATTCAGTTTTACATTTTTTAAACTAAATCTAGTTTGTATTTTACATATAGCATAAATCAATTCAAATCCACCATATTTCAAGTGTTCAATATCTACATGTCACTAGTAATGACTATAGTGGACAGAATTGATCCAGATTTCCAGGTGTATTGCTATAAAACTAACCATATTTTTATCTTATTAAAACAAAACAAAACTCCTCCATAACTATGTCTATGTTCCTTTTGCTTTTATTAACATTGAACATATTCTTGTTTTTAATCTAATTTTGTCTGTATTTAGGTCTATTTTTTGGTGGTGTTATTTCTTGTATGCTTGGCATCAACTTTTTTTTCAATTTCTTAGACTATCTAAACTATTATGCTCTGAGTTTAGCTCAATTTCAATCAGCTACTCACTTTGAAAGACTCATTTAACTCTCTTAAGCCATTCTCCACAAACATGAAAAATCTTCCTCTCACTCTTCCCTGCTGAAACACTGCAAAAGTATGTCAAAATGGTGTACTTTCTTGGCACAGGGTTTCAATAAACTTAGTTTTGCTTTAATAACAAATTATCTGAATATATTTCAGGGAGTTCCACTGGTAAAAGCATAAAATCATGTTAGTTCAGGTCATCTTTTGTAAAGTTATGACAGTGCCATAGTATCAATTCTTGTCAAAATTTATGACTTCAAAATCAACTTAATATGCATCAACATAGATATTTTTTAGTTAATTCTAGACTCCAGGTGCTCATTTAAATAATATGGGTACATAAGACTGAACAAAACCAGTTGCTATTGAATGTACATTTTAGAGAAATACTTCATACACAGCTGTGTTTTGTTAAATAAGGAACTTGATGACATAATCAATATCACGGCAGCATACAACTGTTTGGTTAGTATGTCTCTTTAAACAAGCACATATGCTCATTCATGGAGTGTGTATTTGTATCTGTGTATGGTCTGTGTGGTGAAGCAGCAAGCAACAGTTGGATGTCTTAATTATCTAACAGGAAAAAACACCTAAATAATCAGAAGAAATTTTGATTTATTTATTAGTTCGACTGAGCTTTTCTCTTGAATGTAACACAGATGGTCCCAGATTTACAATGGTACAACTTTACAGCTTTATCATGGTACAAAAGTGATAAACATTCAGTAGAAACAATGCTTTTATTACCCATATACCCATTCCATTTTTCACATTCAGTATTTAATAATTTACATGTGATATTCAACACTTTATTTAAAAATAGGCTTTAGGTTAGATTTTTTTTTTGGACTGGCTAATGTAAGTGTTCTGAGCACATTTCTTAAGTGTATTTTTTTTTAATACTTTAAGTTCTAGGGCACATGTGCACAACTTGCAGGTTTGTTACATATGTATACATGTGCCATGTTGGTTTGCTGCACCCATTAACTCATTATCTACATTAGGTATTTCTCCTAATGCTATCCCTACCCATCCCCCCACCCCACAATAGGCCCCAGCATGTGATGTTACCCACTCTGTGTCCAAGTGTTCTCGTTGTTCAATTCCCACCTATGAGTGAGAACACACGGTGTTTGGTTCTCCGTCCTTGCGAAGGTTTGCTCAGAATGATGGTTTCCAGCTTCATCCACGTCACTACAAAGGACATGAACTCATCATTTTTTATACCAGCATAGTATTCCAGGGTGTATGTATGCCACATTTTCTTAATCCAGTCTATCATTGATGGACATTTCGGTTGGTTCCAAGTCTTTGCTATTGTGAATACTGCCACAATAAACATACATGTGCATGTGTCTTTATAGCAGCATGATTTATAATGCTTTGGGTATATACCCAGTAATGGGATCACTGGGTCACATGGTATTTCTAGTTCTAGATACTTGAGGAATTGCCACACTGACTTCCACAATGGTTGAACTAGTTTACACTCCCACAAACAGTGTAAAAGCATTCCTATTTCTCCACATCCTCTCCAGCACCTGTTGTTTCCCAACTTTTTAATGATCGCCATTCTAACTGGTGTGAGATGCTATCTCATTGTGGTTTTGATTTGCATTTCTCTGATGACCAGTAATGATGAGCATTTTTTCATGTGTCTGTTGGCTGCATAAATGTCTTCTTTTGAAAAGTGTCTGTTCATATCCTTTGTCCACTTTTTGATGGCTTTGTTTTTTTCTTGTAAATTGGTTTAAGTTCTTTGTAGATTCTGGATATTAGCTATTTGTCAAATGGGTAGATTGGAAAAATTTTCTCCCATTCTGTAGGTTGCCTGTTCGCTCTGATGGTAGTTTCTTTTGCTGTGCAGAAGTTCTTTAGTTTAATTAGACCCCATTTGTCTATTTTGGCTTTTGTTGCCATTGCTTTTGGTGTTTTAGACATGAAGTCCTTGCCCATGCCTATGTCCTGAATGGTATTGCCTAGGTTTTCTTCTAGGGTTTTTATGGTTTTAGGTCTAACATTTAAGTCTTTAATCCATCTTGAATTAATTTTTCTATAAGGTGAAGGAAGGGATCCAGTTTCAGCTTTCTACATATGGCTAGCCAGTACCATTTATTAAATAGGGAATCCTTTTCCCATTTCTTGTTTTTGTCAGGTTTGTCAAACATCAGATGGTTGTAAATGTTTAGCGTTATTTCTGAGGCCTCTGTTCCATTCCATTGGTCTATATCTCTGTTTTGGTACCAGTAAAATGCTGTTTTTGTTACTGTAGCCTTGTAGTATAGTTTGAAGTCAGGTAGCGTGATGCCTCCAGCTTTGTTCTTTTTGCTTAGGATTGTCTTGGCAATATGGGCTCTTTTTTTGATTCCATATGAACTTTAGTTTTTTCCAATTCTGTGAAGAAAGTCATTGGTAGCTTGATGGGGATGGCATTGAATCTATAAATTACCTTGGGCAGTATGGCCATTTTCACGATATTGATTCTTCCTACCCATGAGCATGGAATGTTCTTCCATTTGTTTGTGTCCTCTTGTATTTCGTTGAGCAGTGGTTTGTAGTTTTCCTTAAAGAGGTCCTTCACATCCCTTGTAAGTTGGATTCCTAGGTATTTTATTCTCTTTGTAGCAATTGTGAATGGGAGTTCACTCATGATTTGGCTCTCTGATTGTCTGTTATTGGTGTATACAAATGCATGTGATTTTTGCACACTGATTTTGTAACCTGAGACTTTGCTGAAGTTGCTCATCAGCTTAAGGAGATTTTGGGCTGAGATGATGGGGTTTTCTAAATATACAATCATATCACCTGCAAACAGGGACAATTTGACTTCCTCTTTTCCTAATAGAATGCCCTTTATTTCTTTCTCTTGCCTGACTGCCCTGGCCAGAACTTCCAACACTATGTTGAATAGGAGTGGTGAGAGAGGGCATCACTGTCTTGTGCTAGTTTTCAAAGGGAAAGCTTCCAGTTTTTGCCCATTCAGTATGATACTGGCTGCGGGTTTGTCATATATAGCTCTTATTATTTTGAGATATGTTCCATCAATACCTAGTTCATTGAGAGTTTTCAGCATGAAGGGCTATTGAATTTTGTCAAAGACCTTTTCCGCATCTATTGAGATAATCTTGTGGTTTTTGTCTTTGGTTCTCTTTATGTGATGGATTACATCTATTGACTTGCGTATGTTGAACCAGTCTTGCATCCCACGGATGAAGCCAACTTGATCTTGGTGGATAAGCTTTTTGATGTGCTGCTGGACTCGGTTTGCCAGTATTTTTGTTAAATGTACTAAATGCATTTTTTACCTAAAATATTTTCAACTTATGAGTATATCCAGATCCATCATAACACATCTTGGCCTGTGGTTATCAGGATGTAACTCATTATAAGTCGAGGTAGATTTGTATTATATCCCATGTACACACACACACACACACACACACACACACACACACACACACACACAGACTTAATCTGTTTACAGAAATAAAAGGAATAAAATACCGTTTCTATTATACACCAAAACTAGCCATCTTGACAGATACTTCACTCTGAAAAATAACGTTTTATAGCTACTTTACAGATTAGTATAATAATTTGGTGTTTCTGTTTCAGAGATTCGATTTCACATTTCAATAAGTAGGCCGCTCCCTCTGCTAAGCCTGGGAATGTAATTCTTTTGAAAAACTATCTGTGCTGTAAAATTACATGTCATATTGGGAAAAGGACAATCGCAAACAGTAGTCACACATAAAATCAAGCAACACAGACATCCTTTTCACATACAGTGAAGACCCTTGTCAATTTTGAGATTACACAGGAAAACAGAATGGGGGACAAGTGTCTCTGACACATAGAAAATCCCGTGAAGAAGAACTCAGCTGACACAATCAAAACATACACAAAACTGAAAGAAACAAGGTGAGTGCTTTTTATATTAGTTCAGCTGTCAAGAAAGTGTAAAATAAACCTAACATTTTTTTACTAAGTGAGGATTTTCTTTTTTGAAACATCATCATTTATATTTATCCAGTTTGCAACTTCATCAGCTGAATCTCAGGATGTGTTCCATGACACTGAAGGACAATTAAATCATATCCATGACAATATATGAGAAGCTGACAGGAGAACATGGTGGCATTTGAATTAATGTCTATCATTAGATAGAATTTCTGATCACATAATTTAAGTTGTAGTTTTCCATACAATTTAATCAAGATAAGCACTTATTAGGTGAGTGATATACTTTGGCTCTGTGTCCCCACACAAATCTCATGTTGAATCGTAATCCCCACGTGTCAGGGGAGGGGTCTGGTAGGAGGTGATTTGATCATGGGGGTGGATTTCCCATACTGTTCTCGTGACAGTCAGTGAGTTCTCACAAGATCTGATGGTTTAAAAGTGTGTGGAACTTCCCCCCGGCTCTTCTCTCTACTGACACCATGTGAAGAAGGCACCTGCTCCCCCTTTACCTTCTGCCATGATTGTTAGTTTCCTGAGGCCTCCCAGTCGTGCTTCCTGTTAAGCTTGCAGAACTGTGAGTCAATTAAACCTCTTTTCCTCATAAATTACCCAGTAGTTCTTTATAGCAGTTTGAGAAGAGATAGATACAGAAAATTGGTACCAGAGAAGTGGGGCATTGCTATAAAAATACCTGAAAATATGGAAGTAACTTTGGAACTGGGTAACAGGCAGAGGTAGGAAACAGTTTGGAGGACTCAGAAGAAGACAGGGAGATATGGGAAAGTTTAAATCTTCCTAGAGACCTGTTGAATGGTTGTGAACAAAATGCTGATAATGATTTGGATAATGAAGTCCAGGCTGAGGGGGTCTCAGATGGAGATGAGGAACTCATTGAGAACTGAAGAAAAAGTTACTCTTGCTATGCTTTAGCAAAGAGACTGACAGCCTTTTGACCCGGCCCTAGAGATCTGTGTAATGTTGAACTTCAGAGAGATGATTTAGGGTATCTGGTGAAACAAATTTCTAAGCAACAGACCTTCCAACATGTGGCCTGGCTGCTTCTAAAAGTTTATGCTCATGTCCATGAAGAAAGAGATGGCTTGAAACTGAAACGTATATTTAAAAGGAAAGCAGACCATAAAAGTTTGGAAAATTTGCAGCCTAACCATATAGTAAAAAAGAAAAACCCACGCTCTTGGGAGAAATTCAAGCAAAAATTTGCATAAGTAAAGAGGAGCCAAATGTTAATGGCAAAGACAATGTGGAATACGTCTCCAGTACATTTCAGAGACCTTTGAGGCAGCCCCTCCCATTATAAGCCTGGAGGCCTAGGAGGGAGAAATTGTTTAGTGGGATGGGCCCAGGGCCCTGCTGCTCTGGGCAGCCTCGGGACATGGTGCCCAGTGTTCCAGCTGCTCAGCTCCAACTGTGGCTAAAAGGGTCCAAGGCACTACTCAGGCCATTGCTTCAGAGAATACAAGCCTCAAGCTTTGGTGGCTTCCACATGAGGCTGGGCCTGTGGTTGTGCAGAAGGGAAGAGGTGAGGTTTGGGAACCTCCATCTAGATTTCAGAGGATGTATGGAAATGCCTGGATGTCTAGGCAAAAGTCTGCTGCAGAAGTGGAGCCCTTATGGAGAACCTCTACTAGGGCAGTGCAGAGGGAAAATGTGGGGTTGGAGCCCCCACACAGATTCCCCACTGGGGCACTCCCTACTGGAGCTTTGAGAAGAGGGTCATAGTGCTTCAGACCCCAGAATGGTAGATCCACTGACAGCTTGCACAGTGTGCCTGGAAAAGTCACAGGCACTCAATCCTAGCCTGTGAAAGCAGCTGTGGGGGCTGTGCCTTGCAGAGCCACAGAGGCAGAGCTGTCAAAGCTCATGGGAGCCCAGATATTGCATCAGTATGCTCTGGACGTGAGAGATGAGGTCAAAGAAGATTGTTTCAGAGCCTTAAGATTTAATGACTGCCTTGTCGGGTTTTGGACTTGCATGGGGCCTGCAGACCCTTTGTTTTGGCTAATTTCTCCCTTATGGAATTGGAGTGTTTACCTGATCCCTGTACCCCCACTGTTGTCTTGAAATTAACTAACTTGTTTTTGATTTTACAGGCTTATAGGCAGAAGCGATTTGCCTTGTCTCAGATGAAACTTTGGACATGGACTTTTGAGTTAATGCTGGAATAAGTTAAGACTTCCAGTCTGTTGGGAAGGCATGATTGGTTTTGAAATGTGAGAAGGACATGATACTTGGGAGGGGCCAGAGGAGAAATAATATGGCTTGGCCCTCTGTCCCCACCCAAATCTCATCTCAAATTGTAATCCCCTCATGTCAAGAGAGGGGCCTGGGTGGAGGTGACTGGATCATGGGAGCAGATTTCCACATGCTATTCTCATGATAGTGAGTGAGTTCCAAGAGATCTGATGGTTTAAAAGTGTGTGGCACTTCCCTCCTTGTGCTCTCTCTCTCCTGGTGCCATGTCAAGAAGAACCTTGTTTCCCCTTTGCCTTCCACCATGATTTTCTGAGTTTCCTGAGTCCTCCCATTCATGCTTCCTGTAAAGCCTGAAGAACTATGAATCAATTAAATCTCTTTTCTTCATAAATTACTCAGTCTCAAGTCATTCTTTATATCATTGTGAAAACTGACTACTACGGTTAGCAATCTTAAAGAATACTTGTGATTTTGAGAATCAGGCACATATTTTTTTAATAATCGGACTGCTTACAATTGTTTAACTCCTTGCAACTTATAGTTAGTGCCTAAAACTTTGATGACTTTCATTACATTTCAATGGCTCTGTTCCCTTATAGCAAACTACCTTTTTTACTGTACTTACTGTAACTACAGTGCATTTATTTTCAGCCCAAATAGTATTCAGTAATAAGCATTTCTTCCCACATAAGAATAAGTTATATTCCTATTCACTATATTCTAGAATTTCTATTTTCCTTCCACAGTGCCAGCTAAAATTAAAGTGGAATAATCTATTGGGGCCCTGTGTATTTAATGTTTGTTTTCTTAGTATATTATAAACACTGTGAAGGAAGGAAATCCTTGCCTCTTGTTTATACTTTTATCTCCATTATAGAAACACTCTGCATTATTTTCTTACTGCTGCTGTAGCCAATTACTACAAAGTTAGTGGTTTAAAATAGCACAAATATAGTGTCAAACAATTGTGTTTGTCAGATGTCTGCAATGCATCTTATGAGGCTAAAATCAAAGAGTGAGAACTGTTGTGTTCCTTTCTGAAGGTTTTAGGGGAAAATCAGTTTCCTTGACTTTTCCAGCCTCCAGAGGCTGTCCTGATTTGTTAGCTTATGGTCTTTCATTTGTTCAAACCAGAAATGCTGTGTCTCTCTGACCATTCTTTTGAAATCATACCACCTTATGTTTCTAGCCAAGAATGTTTCCCTAGTTTAAACCCATTTGATTACACTGAACTCAAAAGGACACTTTTTCATCTTACCATCCTTAACATTATAATACTTGCAAAGCCCCTTTTACCAGATAGTTAACATATTCACAGCTTCCAGAAATCAGGACATGCGGTTTTTTTTTTGTTGGTTTGTTTGTTTTGTAAACCATTATTTTGCTTACTATACTGTCTTAATTGGAGGAAGCAACTTCTTCGAATAGGTGAATTAATTTCAAATTGATAATGTGATTCTGAATGAACATTAAAGAAATCAACTATTACACCGAACATTACTTTATTGAGCTAAACAAATATTAACTGACTATATAAAATTCATTACACATTTGGAGATAGAATTTTGTACTTTTTAATAAGACTTTTTACATTTTTTGCAATCCTTTTTCTTATTTAAAAAATCAGTACTGTATTAGTACCTACAATATAAGTTTGTTCTAAGAATCAAATGAGATAAACATTTCAGACACCTATCATAGTATCAAGTTCATATCGTAAGCCTAAAATATCAGATGACTTTTATTATTTTCAGAATGTAGTCAAAATCAACATAAAGTTACATTAACACTTGGTTTACTGTATCATAATGCTAGCTTTGTGTCATATCTATCTAGAGAGTACACTGAATAGCTTAAACCAAGTAGAAGGTGATTTCTTGCTTACATAACAGTTTACCATAAGTAATTTTGGCTAAAGACGCATCTTTCCTGCAAAAAATAATTCAAGTTAACGAAGGATCTACTATTACCAAATTGTATCTTCCCAGATTACTTTGTATATATCACCATTCCAGAAGACAAAAGACTACTCATGAAATACAATTTGCACACTTCTTTATATATGAAAAATTCACTTTTCTTCCCTCTGTAAACAACTTAAAGTTTTGCCCAGTTACTGCCTACAACTTAGAGTTCAGGATGTTTCATGACGTGCAGTTCTCTCCCTCAGGCCACTATATGACTTAACGAGGACTAGTGTCCTATAAAGTCAAAAGACAAATTATCTGTAAAATCTAAGTTACCATGGTGAAGCTCCTATCAGAAGACAAAGAAGTCTGCAGAGCACTGACAAAAATATTTCTGAGCAGTACAAATATTTATTTGATGAAACCATAAACATGTCCTGTGGAAATAACTTTAAGGTCCATTGTCCCTGTGGCTCATAGATTTACTTTCTGAGGTAATTTACATTTTCTCTTATTCTCCATGCCTCCATCTTAAATTAGAACAATGAGTGTTTTCTCAGCATGACTAATCAATTGCACTGATTAGTGCAATTTGGGATGCTTGAGGATATTTTAAGCCTTAATTTTTTTTCTCACAATAGGCTTATTGTACCTTTGCCAAGTAGTTATATGGAAACCATTTATTTATTTATTGGATCTAGTTTATAACCAAACATACAGTTCTTTCCTAGGTATAATTCTAAAGTCTGCCTCATTTCCTTCTTTTTTCTCCTCCCCAACACACATATGCTTCTCTGACTGTAAAGATGACCACTTTAAGGTCATTTGAAATCACAGACTTGAAAGAGAAAACAACTTCCCTGATGAGTTCTTTGCTTCAGGGCTGGGTTCCTTGTTTTTTATGAACACAGTAGGATTTAATTTCTGAGCAGCTTTTTCAACCTAATCAGAAAAACCTGAGCTTTTCTGTCACTGTATAATTCCACCATTACTAGACTTTTTGTTTACAAGTGGTTTCCAACAAGGAATGACTTTGTTTCCATAGAACACTTGTCAGTGTCTGGAGACATTTTGAATTATAATGATTAGGTGGTGATGCTACTGGTATGTGGTGGTATAGCCTAAAGATACTATTAATATCCTACAATGCAAAGAATAACCTCCCACAGAATGCAGGAATATCAGGCATAAAATGTCAATAATGCTAAGGTTTAGCAACTCAACTCTATCCACTTTCTTTCCACTCTAAAGACAGGATATTTCTTTTTTTTTTTTTTTTTTGCCTGTGTTTATCTATTTCTTGGATTATGGAACAGAACAAACATGAACACATTACCTTTTGCCTTTCCTCATTTCCCACACTCTTTCCTAGAGGTAATATTAAGCTTCCAATTAATTTTAGATGGTAGTTTCAATAATTTTTTTTCACTGGGTATTACAAGTCTTCATTTCAACCCTCTGAGTTTGGTTTACTTGTCCATTTAATACTAATTTAGTGGATACGTTTTAGGTGCTGTTATGGCAGACCCAACTCAAGCTGGTGATTTCTATATTACTTGGAATCGTGCTAGTTGCTTTGACAACTACACTCAACAACATATAATATCTTAAACAGAACAGAAGTTTCATTCATATAAACTGTTTTTTTAAGATAGGAAAAGCATTGCTCCTTTATGTCCGCATTCAAGAACATAGGCTACTAAGGTATTTAATCTGCAGTATGTTGCTTCCAAGACTACTGTAGAATTGGCCGTTCCAGTCAAGCATACTGAAAAACGTATACAGAAGAGTGCATGTTGGGATTTTGGAGACTAAATTGGATATAAAATATGTTATTTCTACTAATTTTCCACTATTTTGACTTTAATCCCATGCCCTAATATAAAGTATATAAGAATGAGAAACATAGTTTATGTATCTATCAAAATAGAACATAAATGTTTGTGAACATTTGAATCTGTCAGCTTCTCTTGCTCACGTGCCTGTAGTGCCTGTACTCAGGATGCTGAGGCAGGAGAATCGCTTGAACCCAGGAGGTGGAGGCTGCAGTGAGCTGAGGTCACACCACTGCACTCCAGCCTGGGCAACAGAGCGAGACTCCATCTCAAAAAAAAAAAGAAGTGACTCAACTGATTGATGTGTAAAACCTCATTGTAAAATAATGTTCTACAAATGAGACATTAATACAGTTAAATTTTTGGATTAAAAAAGTCTGCCACTTTGTGAATATGTTTTATTTAGGCTTGATTTAGTTAATTTTCTTTTTTCTTTTTCTTTTTCTTTTTTTTTTTTTTTTTTTCTGAGGAGTTTCACTGTTGCTGCCCAGGCTGCAGCGCAGTGCTGGGATCTCGGTTCACTGCATCCTCCACCCCGCCAGTTCAAGTGATTCTCCTGCCTTAGCCTCCTGAGTAGCTGGGATTACAGGCACCCACCACCATACCCGGCCAATTTTTTGTGTTCTTAGTACACATGGGGTTTCACCATGTTGGCCAGGATGGTCTCGAACTTCAGACCTCAGGTGATCCGCCCACCTTGGCCTCCCAAAGTGCTGGGATTACAGGCATGAGCCACCGCACCCAGCCAGTTAATTTTTCTATTAACTAAGACCTAATTAAGATTGAGGCAGAAGAAATGGGTCCTTGGGATTTGAAAATTACTATTCAATTTGGAAGTTTAATTTGCAACATAGATTGTCTGTTATTAAATTACTAGATATAATATCACAAAGGTGGAAAGAAAGGTTGCTTAGTTAAAGATCTAAGTTACTAGTCATGGTGTCAGATATAGAGAATGATTGAAGGTTATCAGAGTCACACACCAGATGAGTAAATTGTTGTTTTCAAGGAAGAGGTTACATAAAGGTAAGCGGAGTAATATTTTAGCATTTTTGTTAATTAAAAATTTGTAAAGTTATTTCCATTTCAAGGAAATTACTCTCAGTAATTTTACGGGTAAAATGACAAATTCCAAGTTTAATTTTCACATGTAACACCCTCCTTGAGCACTTATTTTTATAAAGCTATTAATCTATTTTGGTCTCAATTTACCTTTCTTTAAAGAGATTTTAAAATTTTCTGAAAGAAGCTAACATCTGGAAGTGTAGCTGTTATATTTTTCAATTTTTAATTACATATTTAATTATCCTTTAATTACTTAAGGTTATTCTCAAAAGTGAAGAGAAAGCTGGGATCACACTGCGTAAGATTTTACTCCTGAATGTAATATTCAAAAATGTTACAAAGTCTATCAAAAGGTTTTCATTCTGTGACAATACATGGTCAATTTGACATGGTCAGGAAGCACCACCCCCACTGAGAGATACCAAATTATGGAGTAAACCACCGTAATTTAGGCAGATCTTGAGAGAGAAAATGCTGAGTGGATGCAGAGGCAGCAATGAAGCTGAGCTGAAGAGGGAGGAAGCCTGTGCAGGGAACCCAAACACTACAGCTAGTTCCCCAGAATGGCTCCTAGGAAAGGGCCTCTGCCTGAGAGAGACCTGTGGCCTAGAACACCTAACACAAGAAACACAGTGATTGCAGGAGACTCCCCCAGGGCCCAGGAGCACATCTGGTGATGGAGGCATCTCTCCCACCCCCACTATAGAGCACACCTGCAAACAAAAGGAAGTATAAAACAGCCATGCCACTGGGTATTAGGCTAGCCACTGGCCATCACTCTTAAGCACTATGCATTGGATCACATCCCAAACTACAACATCAAAATTTATCCTGCTACATATACACCTGTGAAACCAAACACCAGAATTACTCATACATAAAAATCCTGGACAGAGAAAGCCCTGACCCTTTGAAAGCATCCAGAAACAAAACCAATTGCCTATACTCAACATACACTACAGTTAAAGGAACACTAACCCTACCAGAAGAGAAAAAATCAGTGCAAGAACTCTGGCAATTCAAAAAGCTAGAGTGTCCTCTTACCTCAAAATTAGCCCACTAGCTACCAAGCAATGGTTCTTAATCAGTCTAAAATAATTGCAACAGACATAGAATACAGAACCTCGATGGCAGGGAAGCTCATGAACATTAAGGAGAAAGTTGAAACCCTAGCCAAGTAATCCAGTAAAGCAATTTAAGTAAGTGCTGAAAGATGAAATTGCCATTTTAAACAACAGCCACACTGAATTTCTAGAGCAGAAAAAATTCAGTATAAGAATTTTATAATACAATAAGAAATATTAACAGAAGGTAGGCCAAGCTAAGGAAAGAATCTCAGAGCTCAAAGACTGGTTCGTTGAATCAACTGAGTCAAAAGAAAATTTTAAAAAAGAATTAAAAAAAGAAAATGAACCAAAGCTTTAAGAAATATGGAATTATATAAAGAGACCAAATCTACGACTCATTGTCATTCCTAGAAGAGAAACAAAGAGAAAAGGCAACTTGGAAAATAGATTTGAGAATAGAGTCTATGAAAATTTTCCTAACCTCGCTAGAGAGAGTGACATGTAAATCCAAAAAATACAGCAAACCCAGCTAGGCACTACAAAAGGTGACTATCCCTAAGGCACACAGTCATCATATTCACCAAAGTAAATACAAAAGAAAAAAAAAATCTTAAAGGCAGCTAGAGAGAAAGGTCATGTTTTCATAAAGCAAGAACTCCACTAGGCTAGTAGTAAATATCTCAGCAAAAACCTTACAAGCCAGAAGAGATTAAGGGCCTATGTCCAACATCATTAATGAAAATAAATTCCAGGCAATAATTTTATATTTCACTAAACTAAACTTCCTAAGTGAAGAAGAAACAAATTTCTCCTCAGATAAGCAAATACTGAGGGAATCAATTTCAACTTGACCAGCCTTATGAAAGGTCCTTAAGGGAGTGCTATACATTGAGTAAAAAGAATGACACCTGCTACCACAAAAGCCCACTTAAGTACATAGCTCACAGGCACTATAAAGTATCTACACAATCAAGTCTACCTAAAAACCAGCTACAAACGTGATGATAGGATCAAAATCTCATGTATCAACATTAACCATAAATGTAAATAGGCTAAACACCCCCACTTAAATGACATACAATGGCAAACTGGATAAAAATGCAAGGCTCACCATCTGTAGTCTTCAAGAGACTCATCTCATATGTAATGACAGCCACTGGCCCAAAATAAGGGGATGGAGAAAATCTGCCATGCAAATGATAACAAAAAAGCAGGAGTAACTATTCTTATATCAGATAAAACAGACTTTAATCAAAATTAAAAAGAACAATTGAAGAATGAAGAGCATTACGTCATGAGAAAGTATATGATCAAACAAGAATACTTAAGTACCCTAAATATAAATGCACCCAACATGGAGCACCCAGATTCATAAAACAAGTTCTTTTTGGACTACAAAAAGACAGACGACCACCCAATAACTGTAGGAGACTTCAACACCCCCGCTGGCAGCACTGGATCATCAAAGCAGATAACCAAGAAAGAAACTGTGTACTTAAACTTCACACTTGACCATTTGGACCTAATAAGACATCTACAGAACACTCCACTCAATAACCACAGAATATACATTCTTCTCATCTGCACAGGGAACATATTCTAACATTGACCACATGCTTGGTCATAAAGCAAGTCTGGATAAATTTTAAAAAATGAAATCATATCAAGCACACTCTTAGATCTCAATGTAATCAAAATATAAATAAATATCAACATCTCTCAACACTACACAAATAGATGAAAATTAAACAACTTTCTCCTGAATAACTTCTGTGTGAAAATCAAAATTAAGGGAGAAATTTTAAGAAAGTGAAATTAATGAAAATGGGAACACAAATTACCAAAATCTCTGGGATGCAGCTAAATCAGTGTTAAGAGGAACGTTTAAATGCCTTTATCATAAAGTTAGAAATACTTCAAATTAACAATCTAACACTACACCTAAAGGAACTAGGGAAGAAAAAAAAAAGAACAACCCTACATCAACGCTAGGAATGAAAAGAAACAACTAAAATAGAGAAGATCTGAATGAAATTGAGATGCAAAAATCCATACAAAAGATTAATGAAACCAAGAGTTGATTTAAAAAAAGAGATTGATAGACCTTTAGCTAGATAAACAAAGAAAAAAAAGAGAAGATCTAAATATATAAATCAGAATGACAAAAACGACATTAAAAATGGTCCCACAGACATACAAAATAATCCTCAGAGAATACTAGGAATAACTCTAGACACAAAAATTAGAAAATCTAGAGGAAATGGATAAATTTCTGAAAACAGGCAATCTTCCAAGATTGAATCAGGAAGATACTGAAATACTGAAGAGACCAATATGAAGCTCTGAAATTGAATAAGTAATAAAAAATCTACCAAGCCAAAAAGCCCTGGACTATATGGATTCACAGCAAAATTCTACCGGAAGTATAACGAAGAACTAGTACAATTCTACTGAAACTATTCCAGAAAAGTTGAAGAGAACGTACTCCTTCCTAACTCACGCTGTGAAGCCAGAAGCAGCTTAATACCAAAACCTGGCAGAGACGCAAAAAAAAAGAACATTCAGGTGACCACTGTTGACGAACATAGACTCAAAAATTCTCAACAAAGTACTAGCAAACTGAATCCATCAGCAGCATATCAAAAAATTAATCTACTATGACAATACAGGCTTTATTCCTGGGATGCATGGCTGGTTCAACATATGCAAATCAATAAATGTGATTCACCAGATAAACAGAATTAAATCAAAAACCATATGATCATCTCAATGGATGCCGGAAAAGCTTTCAATTAAATCCAGTGTCCCTTCATGAAAAAACAAAACAAAAAAAAACCCTCAACAGTTGAGGCTTCAAATAAGCATACTTCAAAATAAAAAAGAGCTATCTACAACAAACCCACAGCCAATATAATACTCAATGGGCAAAAGCTGAAAGCATTCTCCTTTAGAAATGAAACAAGCCAAGGACATCCACTCTTACCACTCCTATTCAACATAGTACCAGAAATCCTAGTCAGAGCAATCTTGCAACAGAAAAAGAGAAAAGCACCCAAATAGGAAGTGAAGATTAAGGCAAACTATCTGTCTTCACCCAACAATATCATTCTATACCTAAAAAACCTTAAAGACTTCAACAGAAGTCTACTAGAAATGATAAAGGATTTTAGCAAGGTTTCAGGATACAAAATCAATGTACAACAATTAGTAGCATTTCTATACAACAACAACATCCAGGTTGAGAGTTAAATTAAGAACACAATCATATTTACAACACCTAGGATGAAAATAAAATCCCTGCAAATACAACTAACCTAAGATGTGAACGATCTCCACAAGGAGAATTACAAAACACAGCTGAAATCTGAAGCTGGATGCAGTGGTTCATGCCTTTGGGAGGCCGAGGCAGGTATATCGCTTGGACCCAGGAGTTTGAGACCAACCTAGGCAACATAGTGGAACCTCATCTATACAAATTTTTTTTTTTTTTTTAAATAGCGAGGCATGGTGGCACATGCCTGTAGTCCTAACTACCCTGACGGCTTGAGGCCAGGAGTTCAAGCCTGCAGTGAGCTATAATGACTCCACTGCATTCCAGCCTGGGTGAAAGGGTGAGACTCTGTCTCAAAAAAGGAAGGAAATAAGAAAAGGAAGGAAGGATGGAAGGGAGGGAGGAAGGGAGGAAGGGAGGGAGGGAGGGAGGGAGGGAGGGAGGGAAGGAAGGAAGGAAGGAAGGAAGGAAGGAAGGAAGGAAGGAAGGAAGGAGATTTTGATAACACAAATAAATGGAATAACATTCCATGTTTACAGATTAAAAGAATCAATATTGTTAAAATGGCCACACTGCCCAAAGCAACTTGTAGATTCAAGGCTATCTCCATGAAACTACCAACATCATTCTTCACAGAATTAGAAAAAACTATTCTAAATTTATATGGAACACCCCCAAAAGCCAGAATGGCCAAAGCAATTCTGAGCAAAAATAATAAAGCCAGAGAGGCGTCATACTACCCAATTTCCAGCTATACTATAAGTGTACACTAACCATGATACTGTTACAAAAGCAGACACTTAAGCCAATGGAACAGAATAGAACACTCAAAAATAAAGCTGCACACTTACCACCATCTGGATCGTGGACAAGGCCAACAAAAACAAACAATGGGGAAAAGGCACCCTATTCAATAAATGGTGCTGGGATAATTCGCTAGCCATAAGCAGAAGAGTGAAACTGGATGCTTACCTTCCACCACACACACAAATTAATTCAAGATGGATTAAAGGTTAAAATGTAAGACTTCAGATTATGAAAACTCTAAAACAAAACCTAGGAAATATTTTTCTCGACATTGGCCTTGGCAAATAATTTTTGGCTAAGTTTCTAAAAACAATTGCAACAAAAACGAAATTGACAAGTGAAAGTCAATCAAACTAAAAAGCTTCTGCACAGCAATAGAAACTATCCACAGAGTAAACAGACAACTTACAGAATGGGAGAAAATATTTGCAAACTATGCATCTGATAAAGATCTAATATAACAAATCCATAAGGAAGAAAAAATGACAAGCATAAAACAACCCCAGTTAAAAAGGGCAAAGCTAATACAGGAGCAGAAAATCAAACTCCGCATCTTCTCACTTATAAGTGGGAGCTGAACAATGGGAACACATGGACACAGGGAGGGGAACAACACACAATGGGGAACAACACACAACACACACTATAATTTTCTGTAGGGGGTTGAGGAGAGGGAGAGCATCAGGAAAAATAGCTAATGCATGCTGGGCTTAATACCTAGGTGATGGGTTGATAGGTGCAGCAAACCACCACCACACACGTTTATCTATGTAACAAAACTGCGCTTCCTGCACATGTACCCCACAACTTAAAATTTAAATCAAGAAAAGGCAAAGGACATGAACAGATATTTTCTCAAAAGAAGACACTCAAGTATATGAAAAAACACTCATCCTTACTAATCATCAAATAAATAAATGCAAGCAAAAACCACAGTAAGATGCCATCTCACATCAGTCACAACAGCTATAATTAAAAAGTAAAAAAAATTAGATGTTGGCCAGGCTGCAGAGTAAAGGGAATGCTTATACACTACTGTTGATGGAAATGTAAACTGGTTCAGGTACTGTGGAAAGTATTTTGGAGATTTCTCTAAGAACTTAAAACAGAGATACCCTTCGACCCAGCATTCCCATTACTGGGTATATATTCAAAGGAAAATAAATTATTCTACCAGAAAAATATATATGCACTCGTACGTTCATCAGCATGTTATTCACAATAGCACAGACATGGAATGAACCTAGGTGCCCATCAAAGGTGGATTGGATAAAGAAAATGTGGTACATATACACTATGGAATACTATGCCTCCATAAAAAAGAATGAAATTATGTCCTTTGCAGCAACATGGATGGAGCTAAGGACATAATCCTAAGCAAATTAGTGCTGGAAAAGAAAACCAGATACCACACATTCTCACTTATAAGTGGAACCTAAACACTGAGCACACAGGAACATTAACATGGGAACAAGACATGCTGCAGGCTATGGGGGTGGGGGAGAGAGGGGAGCATGGGCTGAATAACTACCTACTGGGTACTATGCTCACTACCAGGGTGCACTGTACAAAAGTAACAAATCTGCATATGCACTGTGTCTGGAAAAAACTGAAATTATAAAAACCAAGAGAATATGTTTCTAATGAATGTAGACTTTATTTGATGGACTGGACTAGAATATAATATTTTTTTAAGGGGAAAGGCATTGGGGGATGCACAATGTCTACAGGTTTCTAAACCTCTCTGGTTTCTCACCTAATTCATAGTCTCTTATGTCATTTTCATAGTTTTCATATTCTGCCTTTCCACCTCTTCTTTTTAACAAGTAAAATTCCTCATAGCATACAAAAAAACAATTTTATAAAAAACCCATATTATAGATCAGGGACCTGTGGATTATATGCTATTAGAACTATACAAAATGTCTCTATATAGTTTTCTGTATCTTTGGAATATCTTTGGGTGAAGCTGCAGACCTTCTTGGTGAGTGTTACAGCTCTGCGCAGAGCCAAACAGTGAGCAGCAGCAAGACTGCAAAGAGCAAAAGAACAAAGCCTCCACACTGTGGAAAGGGACCCTAGCACGTTGCTGTTGCTGGCTCTGGCAGCTGCTTTTATTCCCTTATCTCACCCCACCCACATCCTGATGATCGGTCCATTTCATAGAGAGCTGATGGGTTCATTTTACAGAGAGCTGCTTGGTCTGTTTACAATCCTTTAGCTAGACACAAAAGTTCTCCAAGTCCCCACCAGATTAGCTAGACACAGAGCACTGATTAGTGCGTTCACATACCTTGAGCTAGACACAGCATGCTGATTGGTGCATTTACAATCCTCCAGCTAGACGTAGTAAGTTCTCCAAGTACCCACCGGACTCAGGAGCCCAGCTGGCTTTGCCTAGTGCATCCCGGCCGCGGGCGGAGCTGCCCGCCAGTCTCTGGCGCGCTGCCGCACTCCTCAGCCGTTGGGCGGTTGACGGGACCGGGTGCCGCGTAGCAGGAGGTGGCGCCCGTCCCCTCGGGGTGGCGCGCGGGAGCCTGCGGTTGGGGGGCAGGGGGCGGGGGGCAGGGGACGGGGGCGGGGAGGAGGGTGAGGGCTCCAGCATGGCAGGCTGCAGGTCCCGAGCCCTGCCCCCTTGCCCCGCGGGGAGGTGGCTGAGGCCCAGCGAAAATTCGAGCGCGGCGCCGGCGGGCCATCACTGTTGGAGGACCCAGTGCACCCTCCGCAGCTGCTGGCCCGGGTGCTAAGCCTCTCACTGCCCAGGGCCGGCGGCGCCAGCCGACCGCTCAAGAGTGCGGGGCGCGCCGAGCCCGCGCCCACCCGGAAGTCGCGCTGAGCCCGCGCCCACCCGGAAGTCGCGCTGGACCTGCGAGCACCGCAGGCAGCCCAGGTTCCGGCCCGCGCCTCTCCCTCCACACCTCCCCGCCAGCAGAGGGAGCCCGCTCAGGCCTCAGCCAGCACAGAGAGGGGCTCCCACGGTGCAGCTGCGGGCTGAAGGGCTCCTCAAGCGCGGCCAGAGTGGGCTGAGGCCGAGGAGGCGCCGAGAGCCAGCGAGGGATGCCAGCAAGCTGTCACCTCTCAGAAATACAGGAAGAACATCAATAATGTTCGAAGTTATAAAGTAGTAGGTTTCTATCAAGAGTAAAACATAAACGAAGTTATAAAGTAGTAGGTTTCTATCAAGAATAAAACATAAACGATCAAAGAATTCCTTATAAAAACATTTTTTATTTCTAGGAATCAAAACATAAATATAAAATTTGAGAGTCCACCAAAAAAAATTAGATGCCAGATTTCACTATAATTATCAGGGAAGCGCCCAAATGGGTTGTTTACGGCGCCTCGGGGAAACTTTCTGTTTCGTGTTAAGGGTCTTGAACCATGATGTTTAGAAAACCATGGGCTGATGCTTTCAGAACCTCTGTGATTTTTGCCTCCGACACTGCATCCAATAGACTAGCATGTTGATTAGGGAAAGCTAAATTCAATAAAAGACGACTGTAAGTGGGGTCACCACCTTGAGGGGTCATGTTAGAAAAGTAGATGATAAGGTGGTATTGATAGAGTATTGAAGTCTGGGCTCAAATGGTTGCCCGGGGCCTTTCAAGACCAATGACTGATAAGAATAGGTAATGTTCAGGACATAGAGTTTAGGATTGGGGGACACTGTGAGTTAAGGGCCATGACAGAAGTCTTCATAAGTAAACTGTTAATTGACACAAGCTGCTACCTGCCCAGGTGAGCAATCTGTTGGCCCAGAGGAGAGTTGCTTACTGACATAAATTGATTTGCAGAAATTTCCTGAAGCAAACAATAAGTTATTTATTGGTTTGCAGCCTTACTTTCCTGAAAAATGAATTGTGAAATCATGTTGACACAGATGGCCTCAGGTTTCAGTTCGGATAATTAAGCTGTGTAAATATAGAAAGTCGAAGGTTTCTGGGTGCTGTTGATTCACAGTATGCAACAATGATCATATTACTTTTATTTACTATGAGCTTCAGCTGAAAATCCAAAAGAAACTTTAATTTCAGATATTTAATGAAATCATTATAGCTGTGGTAATTTCCTTTAGCTGGGTGTGAGTGTGTGATGTGAGCGTGTGGTGTGTGTGTGTGTGTGTGTGTGTGTGTGTGTGTACTCTGGCAGCATATTCCAAATAATTTCTGTAAAATTTCAGTTTGAAATTAATAGAAGACATATTAAATTGTTTAAACTCTTTGTTATTTAAATTCTATATTACTTTAGTCGATTACTCTGTATTATTACGGCAAAGCTTTGATATGTTGCCCTGAATTTAAAGAAAAGGCTGTTCGGCCTAAAAACAGGAATATTTTATTACCAAAAAGAATTAACTACCATATGTCATTTACAGAAAAGAGTAAATTCTTCAGGGCATAGAAAATACACATTTCCTTCTGTTTGTGTGGAAATAAGCAAAATACCTGTTATAATAGATTCCTCACAGAATTTTGTGAAGCTTCAGGTAAACTTGAAAGAGAAAAATTAAAATGCTAGAGTTTCATAATTACAAATTGGGATATAAAAATAGAATAATTATTTGAATTTTGTATTTCTCTCCAGGGGATCAAAAGTAATATATAAACTTTTAATAAATATTGATATAGCTTCACGTTGACTCCATATGTGAGCAATTTGCTTTCTGTTAAATTCACAATTGCATAATTTTTTTCAGGCTGGAATGCACTTGGATGCCAGAGATTTTGATTTCTTCATGTGAAATAAGGTGATAATACATTCCAAAGTATATATTTTTTCAACTTTGAATATATCTGGTGTATTTGGAGTAATATCTGAGTAAATACACTTATATGTAAGAGAATCAAAGGAACAAGATATTATTTTATATCCAAGGAAATTAACACTTAGAACATAAATACGTATTGCATTACTTCATATTAAAGAAATGTTTTACAAAAGAAAATAAAGGAGCTTATTTTATAGCCCCATTTCCACAAATAATAGCAAAGGTACATACACATATCTAATGTTTTACACACTCATTATTGTTTCTCTTAAAATTTGTTGCTTATACTATTTTAAAAGGCAAGCCTATAGATTGTTGTGTGTATATACATATACACACAACATACATATATGTGTGTGTGTGTGTGTGTGTGTATATATATATATATATATATATATATATATATCAGCAAGCAAGAGAATGGGCCTCTTCCTGCTGAGGTTTAACATTTGCATGTATATGTATATTTTGATTCACATAGACTTATTGTTCTTTAATTACATGAACAGTGATTCCTGGTTACATTATTGGAAAATGGAAGCAATGCTCAAAGAGCATCACCTAAATTTCCATCATATTTTGCTCTCAATATATTTTGTACATCCAAATATATTGTGATTAATCTGCATACATTTTTGCTGTTCTAGGTGACGCTGGTATGAGGCTAGGTAATACACGACCTTAGTCTGCATGTTGTACTTGTGTAACACACATAATTTTACAGTGCTAACAGGTGCTATAATAACTAACTATAGTTAATGATGAATGAAAGAAGGAAGATGTTAAGATGTTAGGGAAGGACTCAAAAGATGCAGTGCTTGAGTTAGAATTTTAAGGGAGATTATGCAAAAGCAGTCACTTAAGGTGGGTCGGGATGATCTAGAATGTGGGAATGATGTATGCAAAGTCACACAGGAGAGATACAGCATGCATGTTTAGAAAATTGTTGATTACATATGGAAAGTTTGCAGGACTTGCATCCTAGAATGTCAGGATTTTAAGCTAAGTAGGGTTCAAATTAAATTTTTCACATACTTCGCTGCATTATAATAACTAGTTTATGTTTAACTCATCCACTAAACTAAGTTATTTGAAAAGAGATGCCAGTGTTCACTCAATCTAGTTGTCTGTCATTAATAATTTAAAAATAATTGAGATTTTAATTTTGGTCTGCTAAGCCTGTTTAATTAAAATTTGACGTTAAATAAGATTTTACAGGCCTCATTTTTTTTTCAGTCATCACAGTTTGAATATTAAACATTACTACTTTTATCTCCCTCAGTCAGCATAAAACATACTACTTATGGTTTTAATAACCAAATTCAATGAGCACCAACAAAATTTGATGTAACTATTAACTTTGAAATTTTGTTGAAATAGAACTATGCCTTGGGTATCATTCAAAGCATTTAATTGTTGCAATAAAAAACTTTGAGATAAATTGAAATGATGGACAATATGGGTCGAAAGCAACACTGGCTTGAGGGAATAGGCTAATGTTTGAGAACAGAATTGTTAAGGACAAGATTAGATGTTTATATTATTTTAGGAAAGATACACTCTAATGGAGTTTAATTCTAAAATGTTTAATATTATGAAAATATTATATGTTATATGATCATTATAGAAAATTAAAAATATAAGAACATCAGAAGCAAAATAGTCAAAGTCTACCTAAACCCAATTAGAAGTGAATACTATTAATCTTGATTTGCATGTTTCTAATCTTATTATTATCAAATTAATAAACAGCTTTCAGATATTCTGCTTCTCCCTGTTACTAGATCAGGATAATGTCATTTATGTACAGGCATCTCCTGCTTACTCAGTTCAGCATTGATCAATAAATATTTTAGACTTCCATTCAAAACACTTCCATTTTTCTTTTGCCCATATTCTTTTTATTCAGTGCTGCCTGTTTTCAAATACACAACACTTTGTCAAACAAATTCCAACATTAGATTGGATATAGTTGGTATCAAAGTAGTAATACACATTGCCATTCCTAATCCTCAGTGCATTGATCCTGAAAATTATTTGTAAGAATAGAAAAATACTGGATATTTCAAATTAAGTCTCATTTTGTTGCTTACCCATGAAAGACTGGAATTAACCAACATAACCATTACAAGGTGATTGAGCAAATGAATAGATGGAAAATATTATAGAAACTTTACTGCAGTTCATCAACCATTGTGGTCATTAGGCCGTAGGAAAATACAGTGTGACAGTACCCCTGTCTTCTTTTCCATTTGTTAAGTCTCATATCCAAGTAACAGTGGGTAGACCTTATGAGAACCCAAAGTGAGATAAAAATAATTTTTGGCTTTTCAATGTATCTTATTTGATCTAAGAGGTATTTCCCCGACTTTGATGCAATAATTCTTGTCACAAAATTTGACTTTACTGAAGACCGTTTTAAGGATCTTTGCAGCTGACAGCAGTGACTTTTTTACCTCCTACAAAGTTTCAACTGACAGTCTTATTGTCTCTGACTTTCCCAAATTAATGACATAATTAGTCACCAGGGCTTTGGCTGCTCAATAGGGATTTAGTAAGCAATGAGTCATATGTTGGGGAACACTTCAACAAACAAAATGTTGGCAGAGAAAGATGTATGAATCAGCTAGGAAGAAACACTATTCTATCACTGAGGATCTTTCTAATATTAGATATCACAGAAAAATTTTCATATAGATTACCATACGAGTGAGCCAAAACCTCTAGGAACAAAAAAGCTTAGTATAATTATAACTCCTTGCCATGATTTAACTTAAAATTTCTTTACTTATTTAGCAATTCTATAAACAAGAATCATTTCTGTTAAGGATACTAAGGAGAGTGTTCCTATTGAATCAGAACATTTAAAACAAATAATTGAGGGAACTCACACATGTAAAACGTCATTAACCAAACTAAAATAAAATGTGAGGGCATAAACTTAACCAGAAATGTTTAAAACCTATATATAAAAAAAACTAGAAAACACTTCTGAATGGCACAAATTTGGACTTGAGCACGGGGAAAGAAATTCCATGCTCTTGAAAAAGCCTTAAAATCATAAATGTGCCAGTTCTTTAAATAAACTTATATCTTCTGTGTCATAACAAAACGACATTTTCTAGAATTTCTTTTTCCAGATTTAGAAAAATAGACAAATTTACTTGGAGGAATAAAGAAGCAAGAATAGCTAGAAATATCCTATAAAATCAATGGAATTTGGAGTCAATACAAAATATTAAGCAATTCTTAAAGCTTCTATGATTAAAATGAGTTATAACTACAGATAGATGAAGATCATATAGAAAATCAAGACATTGACAGATATGGAAAGGTGGTATATAATGAAAACATTTCAGATCAATGAGGGGGAAATGTTAACCGGAAAAGAATATTAAAAAGGCAATGAACTCAATAAGACAACAAGAAGCAAACCACAGAAAAATAACTGGACTGGATTAGAAAGAAAATATCTTAGACACTTCAAAAATAAAATATTCAAATAACCAATGAACTTATTAAAAGGTTTTTATTTATATTGGTTACCTGAAAAAATAATTCAAACCACAATGAGATGTAAGTACTTGTCATTCAGAATCCTGAATTTGAAAGGAATATTTTAGAATTCTAAGTTGAAGAGAAAGTGCAAAGTATTGATGAGAATGTTGACTAATTAGAACACTCAAATTGATGTTATTGGCATAACTTAGTTCAAATAATTTGGATAAAGATATGTATTAGGCCCCAAAATTCTACTTGTAAAGATGGTTTCTCCAGAAATGCATGCATATATATAGCTAAAAAAAAATGTGTACTCATGAAAACACTTTTCAGAATAACACCAAAATAACCCCAAACTGTGGCCCAAAAGTGGACTAAAATACTTATAAAGAGTACAGTAAACAAATAAGTTGTAATATGATCACCTAATAAAATATTAGAGAAATAAATATAAATAGTTTCATTTGCAGGTCATATAGTCAATTCGTCTCACAAATATAATATTAAGCAAAAAAATGTGGTTCAAAACACTACACACACTATTTGATTCCTTACTGGTAAAAGTTAGAATAGTGTTATGTTAGGAGGGATGGGTGGAAATCAGGTGTGTGACTATTACATTTTCTTATTCTGGATGATCATAGTATTTTAAAACTCACTAAGCTTTAAACTTATGTGCATTTACCCATGTGTATACAATACTTTAATAGAAGCTTCAAATCAATGAGAAAACATGAAACTGTCTGATGGAAAAATAGCTTGAGGAAATGAACAGGTATGGCAGAAAAGAAGGGCTGCATATAGTTTAAAAACTTGAAGAGATGTTTAATCTCTTTGCAAATAGAAAAACATACGCATTTAAATTGAAATACCATTTTCATGTTCCAAAATTAAAATTATTAGAAATATGATGGTAAACAGTGATGGTAATATGGGAGAAAGGAAACATCCTAGGCAATTTGGCTAAGCTTTTCTGAGAAAGATTTAGGCAATATGCCATTAAAAGATTTAATGTGAACAAATGGGAAATTTGCCCACATAAATAAATGGAAAGATACTCTATTTTTCCTAATTTAATCTGAAAATACCTAAGCCCCTGATATTTTTCTAAAAACTGGAATGTCCCTGTGGTCATTGGGTTTTAGAGACATAATTTTCACTGCGATGGTCATAATTTTAAAAGGTTGCATCATCCATTTTTAGTTAACATATATTGTACTAACATCACATATCTATGTAACAGAAAAATAGAGTCAACTCATGTAGGGACAGACATGAAAATGACAAATACATATAGAGATAGAAAGGTATCTTGTGCATTATACTGAGAAAGACAATAGAAATAAACAATTTACATGGGTTGATTTATTTTGATTAAGATATATAAGTGGTTAGATAAATGTTAAATAGGTCAGTATGTAATTACAGAAAATGACAAATTGTTATGTATGGTACATTTGTAGGCATAACACAGACATTACATTTTGGAAAATTGTGTTCTATGCAACAGTGCCAAGTCTAATGAAAGTAAGAGGAAGAGGAATTCAGCCAAAGTACCAACCCCTGTTATCCATTCCTTAAGAAAGGAACTTCTTTATACACTCAAAAGAGGGGATTCTTTTTAAATTTGTTTCCAGAGGGGCATCTGCATACACATACACATACACATACACACACACACACACACACACACACACACACACATTTACATTATATTTAAATGTGTGTGCATGATATATATATATACATGTATTTATTTATTTAATATATATGTGTTATCTGGGTCCTATATAGGAACACACACACACACACATTTTGAATCAAACACTCTTTCGTATAATTTTGGTGACAAACGTATGCAATAAATGAGAATACTTTAACTTTCCAAAAAGCTATTCAAAAGTATAATTTTCAAATAAAATATATGTTTGTATGACAACAAATGATTTTTTATAAATAATATATTCTGCATTATCAATCTGCCACTGGTTTTTATTAAATAAAAAAACCTGTAAGTTTGTATGCTCTTAAAATACATATAACATTTGTAAGAATAGTTTTTGTGTAAAAATAATTATAGTTCACTATAACTATGTTAAAAATAGACATAGCCAGGCAAGTCGCTCATGCCTGTAACCCAGCACTTTGGTAGGCTGAGGCGGGCAGATCACTTGAGGCCAGGAGTTCAAGACCAGTCTGGCCAACATAGCGAAACCCCATCTCTAATAAAAATACAAAAATTAGCCGGGCATGGTGGCCCATACCTTGTAATGCCAGCTACTCAGGAAGCTGTGGCAGGAAGATTGCTGGAACCCGAGAGGCGGAGTCTGCAGTGAGACAAGATCATGCCACTGCACTCCAACCTGGGTAACAGAGTGAGACTCTGTCTCAAAAAAAAAAAAAAAAAAAAGAAAAGAAAAGAAAAGAGAAAAATAGACACAGATGAAGGGTGTCTTTGATTATGCAAATAGATTACCCATCTTGTACTCACTGTGTTTATTTCAATAAATGATCCACAGAATATGCTACTTTTGATTTATAGTTTTCTTCTCCTTCACCGCTGTGGACTGGGAAAATATTTCTTATTATTTCTGCTGCAGAGTAGCAAAAAATTATGAGCCAGAAGGAAGACCACTACAACAAGCAAAATCTCTGAGTAATCATAAAATGAAGAACTATTTCCTGTTGGGATTCACTGTGATGAATTTGATTTTAAATTCTTGATGTTGGCATTTTATTTTTAAAACTTAGCTTTCTTGCCTATTCTGAAATTGTCAAAAATTCAGAAAAACAATCATGATCATTTGCTTGCTGACCAGTGGAGACCTACTGATTTTTAGGCTGTGAGACTACAGTAATAAATAAATAAAAAAGTTCATACTTCCTTCTATCGAGGGAAATTGAGCATTTTTCTCATAGTCCTAAATCACCAGATCAAGGGATATATGTAATACTTGAGTGTTGACATTTTATTAATTTTTATATTTAACTAGAGCTGTAAAGTTGAAACAAATGGGTCAATGCAGTAGCCCATAAAATATTTTAAAAACACATAAAAGAAATATCACTAAAATTTAAACATAAAAAAAATACAAAAAAACCCTGAGCTATAGGAAGGGAAGTATCCTCTAAATGCCCAAGTTGAAGGTAGTCCTCTTAGAAAGGGACAGTAAGAAGCAGTGTTTGATGGGAACGTGATTTTTCAAGTATTTGAATTTTCAAACTCACCACATTAACTGAGTAAAATGAAAAAAATATATAAACTTCCTCTGAGGCAGAAAAAACATTTGGCATTTTCAAGATAGAATTATAATAAAAATATCTCGCCCCAATAGAATACAAAGAAGCATCCTTAAGCAAATAGAAGGCATCTACGGAAATATCACACTGAAGTTTGAACTAATAAATTATTCATTTAAGATCCAGAAGAAGACAAAGTGTCCTCTTTCACTATTGTTCTCTCTACTGTATGGGAGGAATTAACCAGTGAGACAAATCAAATAAATAAGTAAAACATACACAGTTAAGAAATGAAAAATACAATTCTAAATTTTTAAACAACTCCATTACCTACACATAAACTTCTAGTGACTGTAAAAATCAGCTGCTGGAATAAACTAGTAATTTTAGCCACATCATAGAAAAAATAAGTCAACCCATTAACTTATTTCTATATATTTCCAATGAGCAATTAATGATAAAAATCAAATCCATGTAAAATACTAATAAAAATAAAATATGTATATATGATTTTAACAAATTACATGCAAGATCTCTCTAAATAGGAAACTAGCAAAAGTGTTGGGAGATGTAGGAAAGTTCTAAATAAATGGAGTCGCATACAATAATTGATGGTTTTGATGTGTGTCCCTGCCCAAATCTGGTATGATGTAATCTCCAATGTTAGAGGTGAGGCCTGATGGGAGGTGATTGGATCATGGGGTGGATTTCTCATGAGTGGTTCAGCATCATCCCTCTTGATACTGTTCTCATAATAGTGAGTGAGTGAGTTCTCATGAGATCTGGTCATTTAAAAGTGTGTAGCAGCTTCCCCTTTCACTCTCTTGCTGTTCTGGCCATGTGACGTGCCTGTCCCCCTTTGCTTTCTGCCATGATTGTGCGTTTCCTGAGTCTTCCCAGAAGCTAAGTAGATGCCAGCATCATCCTTCCTGTATAGCCTGCAGAACAGTGGGGCAATTAAACCTCTTTTCTTCATAAATTGTTGAATCTTCTGTATTTCTCTATAGCAATGCCGGAACAAACTAATACAATAATCATGGCTTGAAAGTTCAGTGAATTTTAGTGTGTAAAAGGTTTTGGTTTTTCCAAATTAATCATTCTAGAAATCCTCACCATAATCACAAAAGATATTTTTATATAAATTGACACACTGATTTAAAAATGTACATCAAGAGAGCAAAAACAAATGATAGAAAGCTGAAAAAAAAGTTGGAATACTCACACTTCCTAACACCATGCAATAACTTAAAGCTATAGTCATCGAGAGAATGTGTTATTAGTATATGGATAAACAATTAGAGTAATGGAATGGAATAGAGTTCACAAATAGATCCATGCTTATATGAATAATATAATATCAAAGATACTGCAGTTATTCAAAGGGGAAAGATAATTTTATTTAACAAAGTGTGCAGAACTACGAGATAAATGTGAAGAAAACAAACCTCAAGTCCTTCCTCACAACAAAAGCGTGAATGAGTTCAAAATTAAAGGAGTCCAAAATATATTATGGAACAATGTGTAAAAGTGAAAGCATAGGCTTCAAATATAAAGCACAGAAAATGTCTTAGTAAACTACATGAAAGCATTTCTTTTTATCCAAACTGTGGATACATTTCTTTTTATTCAGAAAGCAATAATTATATAATGATAAACTACAGAAATGTGTAAATATATTTATACTTTAATGTTTATTTTTAATTACACAATTATATATACTATTTATTATGAATAAGAGCAAGAATATATAAATATAATGTACAACATAGAAACAAGAGAGCTATAAAAACTAACAGATGCTACACAAAAATGATATAATAGCAAATAAGCAAATGAAAAATTTCTTAATATCGTTAGTAATAAAAAATAAAATGAGATAATTATACACATCTACTAGAAAAGCTACTATTTTAAAAATTGTGTTACCAATATTTGGCATAGATGTCAAGAAACCAGACTCTAGAGTTTGCATACATTGACGGTGGGAGTGTAACACAGTACAGCTACTTTGGATAACTAAATCTACCTTACATGTACCAATTCTACCCCTAGGCATTTATCCTAGGGGGGAGAAAAGCATAAGTCTGTAAAAAGGCTTGCACAAGTACCTTTATTCATTATTGTCAAAAACAGACACCATGCAACTGTCCACCAAGAGCGGCGTTCTCAAGTTCAGCACTATTAGCTGTTGAAGTGGCTTAATTCTTTGTTGTGGGGAGCTATCCTTTGTGGAACCCTGGCCTGTGGACACTCTATCCCCTCCTCCACAAACCTCTGATAACCAGAAGTGTCCCCAAACATTGGAAATGTCCCCTGGCAGGTAAAATGTCCCTCATTTGAGAACCTCTGGTCAAGAGTTTAGTAAATAAATTATAGTGGTATGTCTATGAAATGAAATAATATGTAACAATAAAAAAGTGCTACTTCAACATGCAAGAAATTGTTGAATCTCAAAAATATTATGCTTAAGGAAAAAAGACAAAAAGAATTCATACTCTATAATTCTACTGATATATAATTGTAGAAAATAAAAGCTAATATATGGTAATAAAACCAGATTAGTACTGGATTGACAATGTGTTGAAAGTCAAAAGAAGAGGCTTGAGATCTCTTTCTAGTGTGATAGTTTTACAAGTATATACGTATGTTAATGTTTAAAAATTTCACACCTCAAAAATGTGCAGTATACCAGATGTTAATTATATCTCATAAAGCTATTAAAATTTTATCTCAAAATTATAGCTTTATTGCATTTAGGGCATTATCCAATTTTGAATCTAATCCAGTTATCATAGCTTAATGCAGTATTATGAAAATAATGCCTATAAAGGTCCAGTTCCTCAAACACCCTTGGAACCAATTTTGTCATCTATATTAGTTACCTTGGGCTGCTATAATGAAGTACCACAAGCTGTGTGTCTTTAAGCAACAGAAATTTCTTCCCTCACAGTTGCGGAGGTCAGAGGTCAGAAAACAAGGTGTCTGCAGGACCAACCTCTCCTCTGGATGCTCTAGGTGAGAATCTTTTCCATGCCTTTCTCTTAGCTTCTGATGTTGCCATCAGAACTTCAGATGGTGTTCCTTGGCTTCTGTCAATATTAATACATAAATCCTTTTCAGTCTCAGCTTCTCTCTTCACATGGTCCTCTCCACATCCTATCTGTTTCTGTTCCCTCTTCTTATAAAGACAGCCCATGTTATTTTAAGTCCCACCTACAGACATAATTTTAGCTTGATTACATCTGCAAAAACTTTGTGTCCAAATAAGGTTTCATTTACCTTATGTGTATAACTAGGGGTTAGGGCTTGAACATACGGGTTTGGGGAGGGGAACACAGTTCAGACCATGACACTCATTGTTTCACTCATTAATGAGTTAAGGGTGCTTTGATATTATTACATTTGAATGAGAGTGGTCTTTAAAATTACATTTTGTCGTGTAGTTTGTTCCACCCTGATGCTTAAAGGGAGTCACCTGCCTCAGCCAATTAAACTGTGTTGTCTCTGCAGTGCGTTTTATCACAAGAACATGACCTTTAAGCACAAGAACACCTTGTACTCCACCACTAAAAACAGAAATGACATCTACCTTCACTGCTTCCCTATTTCTCTCCATCTTTACTGACTTGGTATTTTGTTGTTGCTGTCATTTCTGGTTGTTGGTCAATTTTCATTTCTGTTCTTATTTTGCTGATAATTCTTATAAATCAGTGCTGAATTTTGTCAAATTATTTTTCTGCATCTCTACAGATGATCATTTTATGTTTTTGTCCCTGTGATAATTTAATGAATGTCATTGATCAATTTTTAAATAATGAATATCTTTGCATTTAAGATAATATTTTTCACTATTAATGTTATCTCTGAAATGAAAGCTAAACCTAGTCAATAGATATTAGAGGTGCATGATTTTTAAAATTGTATAAAATTAGATAAAAAATACAAAGAAATATATATAATTTTAAAACTATGTAAAAATGTAAATGCCAAATGATAGAGCACTAAATGAAGCTTGTAATATTAAATACAACCTTTAGAAACTCTTTTGCAGTGCAGGAAAAAAATAGAACTGAAAACAAAGCAGAAGAAATCACAGATATAAAATTAAAGAGGATAGAATTAAGCACCTGAGTTCCCACATCTAAAGTGAAAATCTAAGAATTTAAATATCATTCAAATACAGACTAAAATACAATATAAAATAAAATTTCCTGAGCTAATTTTTAAAATACTGCTTAATTTGTAGGTAAAAATGCAGACTAATTTTCTGACTATATTACTATAAAAACCTTCTACAAATATTTTTTAACTAAAATTATAAGAAAAACATCCGCCATAAACACGTAAGATTAGTATTTTCGTTTCTGAAGTATAAAATGTCTGGATAGACTTGAGCTTGTTGCTTTAGTTTTATATGTGAAGACTGGAAAAATTCTGTTTTGTTTTGAAAAATATTTTGAGCTAAAAATGTTGTATTCCACATTTGTTAGGAATGGAAGTCTTTAAAATATGAAATATTTCCAATTGAAGAAAAATAGTGAAAATGAACTTTATCTGAATAAGATTAATGAAAATTACATGTTGAAAAAGTAAAATAGTTATGTGTACTAACAGTGACTACTAACCCAACAATATAAAATTAAGTAAAAATATTATTACCATGTTAAATACAAATTAAAATTAATTATAAAAAAGTTAAGATCTATGATTAAAGTATTAAAATAAAATGAGACTGTATTCACAAATCTAAAAGCAAATTGGTGAATGACATATTTTTTGAAATAATAAATTCTTTGGCATATTTTATATTTTTTATTATAAATGAAAATTATTTATTTGAAATATTTAAAGGAACAAAATATTTGCAGCTCTATTTTATTGAGAAAGGAATTACAAAACAAAAACAAGGAGCTTTTGTAATTACAAAAGAATATATTAATAATATTATTTAGAAGCACAAAACCAGAAAAGCTTTATATTATTTCTAACAATAAATGTAAACCATCTAATTTTCTGAAAAGGGGTGGAAATAAATATTTAACAAAGAAGATGTTATTCTTAAATTGTAATATGTACATTGCCTAAAAATAAAAAGGTAGTTGAAGATATATTGTGAACAACAAAAAATGAAGAGCTGATAATATTAATGTGCGAAGGAAACTCATAACATATTGTACTAA